>NC_000001.11:121758073-121768152 GCF_000001405.40 Homo sapiens
GACTTGAACCTCTTTTTGTGGAATTTGCAAGTGGAGATTTCAGCCGATTTGAAGTCAATGGTAGAAAGGGAAATATCTTCGTATAGAAACTAGACAGAATGATTCTCAGAAACTCCTTTGTGATGTGTGCGTTCAACTCACAGAGTTTAACCTTTCTTTTCATAGAGCAGTTAGGAAACACTCTGTTTATAAAGTCTGCAAGTGGATATTCAGACCCCTTTGAGGCATTCGTTGGAAACGGGATTTCTTGATATTATGCTAGACAGAAGAATTCTCAATAACTTCCTTGTGTTGTGTGTATTCAACTCACAGAGTTGAACGATCCTTTACACAGAGCAGACTTGAAACACTCTTGTTGTGGAATTTGCAGGTGGAGATTTCAGCCTCTTTGAGGTCAATGGTAGAATAGGAAATATCTTCCTATAGAAACTACACAGAATGATTCTCAGAAACTCCTTTGTGATGTGTGCGTTCAACTCACAGAGTTTAACCTTTCTTTTCATGGAGCAGTTAGGAAACACTCTGTTTGTAAAGTCTGCAAGGGGATATTCAGACCTCTTTGAGGCTTTCGTTGGAAACGGGATTTCTTCATATTCTGCTAGACAGAAGAATTCTCAGAAACTTCCTTGTGTTGTGTGTATTCAACTCACAGAGTTGAACGATCCTTTACACAGAGCAGACTTGAAACACACTTTTTTTGGTATTTTCAAGTGGAGATTTCAGCCAATTTGAGGTAAATGGTAGAAAAGGAAATATCTTCGTATAAAAACTAGACAGAATGATTCTCAGAAACTCCTTTGTGATGTGTGCGTTCAACTCACAGAGTTTAACCTTTCTTTTCATAGAGCAGTTAGGAAACACTCTGTTTGTAAAGTCTGCAAGGGGATATTCAGACCTCTTTGAGGCTTTCTTTGGAAACGGGATTTCTTCATATTCTGCTAGACAGAAGAATTCTCAGAAACTTCCTTGTGTTGTGTGTATTCAACTCAGAGAGTTGAACGATCCTTTACACAGAGCAGACTTGAAACACACTTTTTTTGGTATTTTCAAGTGGAGATTTCAGCCACTTTGAGGTCAATGGTAGAAAAGGAAATATCTTCGTATAAAAACTAGACAGAATGATTCTCAGAAACTCCTTTGCGATGTGTGCGTTCAACTCACAGAGTTTAACCTTTCTTTTCATAGAGCAGTTAGGAAACACCCTGTTTGTAAAGTCTGCAAGGGGATATACAGACCTCTTTGAGGCCTTCGTTGGAAACGGGATTTCTTCATGTTATGCTAGACAGAAGAATTCTCAGTAACTTCCTTGTGTTGTGCGTATTCAACTCACAGAGTTGAACGATCCTTTACACAGAGCATACTTGAAACACTCTTTTTGTGGAATTTCAAGTGGAGATTTCAGCCGCTTTGAGGTCAATGGTAGAATAGGAAATATCTTCCTATAGAAACTAGACAGAATGATTCTCACAAACTCCTTTATGATGTGTGCATTCAACTCACAGAGTTTAACGTTTCTTTTCATAGAGCAGTTTGGAAACACTCTGTTTGTAAAGTCTGTAAGTGGATATTCAGACCTCCTAGAGGCCTTCGTTTGAAACAGGATTTCTTCATATTCTGCTAGACAGAAGAATTCTCAGAAACTTCCTTGTGTTGTGTGTATTCAACTCACAGAGTTGAACGATCCTTAAAACAGAGCAGAATTGAAACACTCTTTTTGTGGAATTTGCAAGTGGAGATTTCAGCCGCTTTAAGGTCAATGGTAGAAAAGGAAATATCTTCGTATAGAAACTAGACAGAATGATTCTCAGAAACTCCTTTGTGATGTGTGCGTTCAACTCACAGAGTTTAACCTTTCTTTTCATAGAGCAGTTAGGAAACACTCTGTTTGTAAAGTCTGCAAGTGGAAATTCAGACCTCTTTGAGACCTTCGTTGGAAACGGGATTTCTTCATATTCTGGTAGACAGAAGAATTCTCAGTAACTTCTTTGTGTTGTGTGTATTCAACTCACAGAGTTGAACGATCCTTCAAACAGAGCAGACTTGAAACACTCTTTTTGTGGAATTTCAAGTGGAGATTTCAGCCGCTTTGAGGTCAATGGTAGAATAGGAAATATCTTCCTATAGAAACTAGACAGAATGATTCTCAGAAACTCCTTTATGATGTGTGCATTCAACTCACAGAGTTTAACGTTTCTTTTCATAGAGCATTTAGGAAACACTCTGTTTGTAAAGTCTGCAAGTGGATATTCAGACCTCCTAGAGGCCTTCGTTGGAAACGGGATTTCTTCATATTCTGCTAGACAGAAGAATTCTCAGTAACTTCCTTGTGTTGTGTGTATTCAACTCACAGAGTTGAACGATCCTTTACACAGAGCAGACTTGAAACACACTTTTTTTGGTATTTTCAAGTGGAGATTTCAGCCGCTTTGTGGTCAATGGTAGAAAAGGAAATATCTTCGTATAAAGACTAGACAGAATGATTCTCAGAAACTCCTTTGTGATGTGTGCGTTCAACTCACAGAGTTTAACCTTTCTTTTCATAGAGCAGTTAGGAAACACTCTGTTTGTAAAGTCTGCAAGGGGATATTCAGACCTCTTTGAGGCTTTCTTTGGAAACTGGATTTCTTCATATTCTGCTAGACAGAAGAATTCTCAGAAACTTCATTGTGTTGTGTGTATTGAACTCACAGAGTTGAACGATCCTTTACACAGAGCAGACTTGAAACACTCTTTTTGTGGAATTTGCAAGTGGAGATTTCAGCCGCTTTGAGGTCAATGGTTCAATAGGAAATATCTCCCAATAGAAACTAGACAGAATGATTATCAGAAACTCCTTTGTGATGTGTGCGTTCAACTCACAGAGTTTAACCTTTCTTTTCATAGAGCAGTTAGGAAACACGCTGTAATGTCTGCAAGTGGATATTCAGACCTCTTTGAGGCTTTCCTTGGAAACTGGATTTCTTCATATTCTGCTAGACAGAAGAATTCTCAGAAACTTCATTGTGTTGTGTGTATTGAACTCACAGAGTTGAACGATCCTTTACACAGAGCAGACTTGAAGCACTCTTTTTGTGGAATTTGCAAGTGGAGATTTCAGCCGCTTTGAGGTCAATGGTAGAAAAAGAAATATCTTCTTATAAAAACTAGACAGAATGATTCTCAGAAACTCCTTTGTGATGTTTGCGTTCAACTGACAGACTTTAACCTTTCTTTTCATAGAGCAGTTAGGAAACACTCTGTTTGTAAAGTCTGCAAGTGGATATTCAGACCTCCTAGAGGCCTTCGTTGGAAACAGGATTTCTTCATATTATGCTAGACAGAAGAATTCTCAGTAACTTCCTTGTGTTGTGTGTATTCAACTCACAGAGTTGAACGATCCTTTACACAGAGCAGACTTGAAACACTCTTTTTGTGGAATTTGCAAGTGGAGATTTCAGCCGCTTTGAGGTCAAAGGTAGAATAGGAAATATCTTCCTATAGAAACTAGACAGAATGATTCTCAGAAACTCCTTTGTGATGAGTGCGTTCAACTCACAGAGTTTAACCTTTCTTTTCATAGAGCAGTTAGGAAACATTCTGTTTGTAAAGTCTGCAAGTGGATATTCAGACCTCTTTGAGGCTTTCGTTGGAAACGGGATTTCTTCATATTCTGCTAGACAGAAGAATTCTCAGAAACTTCCTTGTGTTGTGTGTATTCAACTCACAGAGTTGAACGATCCTTTACACAGAGCAGACTTGAAACACCCTTTTTGTGGAATTTGCAAGTGGAGATTTCAGCCGCTTTGAAGTCAATGGTAGAAAAGGGAATATCTTCGTATAGAAACTAGACAGATGATTCTCAGAAACTCCTTTGTGATGTGTGCGTTCAACTCACAGAGTTTAACCTTTCTTTTCTTAGAGCAGTTAGGAAACACTCTGTTTATAATGTCTGCAAGTGGATATTCAGACCCCTTTGAGGCCTTCGTTGGAAACGGGATTTCTTCATATTATGCTAGACAGAAGAATTCTCAATAACTTCCTTGTGTTGTGTGTATTCAACTCACAGAGTTGAACGATCCTTTACACAGAGCAGACTTGAAACACTCTTGTTGTGGAATTTGCAAGTGGAGATTTCAGCCGCTTTGAGGTCAATGGTAGAATAGGAAATATCTTCCTATAAAAACTAGACAGAATGATTCTCAGAAACTCCTTTGTGATGTGTGCGTTCAACTCACAGAGTTTAACCTTTCTTTTCATAGAGCAGTTAGGAAACACTCTGTTTGTAAAGTCTGCAAGGGGATATTCAGACCTCTTTGAGGCTTTCTTTGGAAACGGGATTTCTTCATATTCTGCTAGACAGAAGAATTCTCAGAAACTTCCTTGTGTTGTGTGTATTCAACTCAGAGAGTTGAACGATCCTTTACACAGAGCAGACTTGAAACACACTTTTTTTGGTATTTTCAAGTGGAGATTTCAGCCACTTTGAGGTCAATGGTAGAAAAGGAAATATCTTCGTATAAAAACTAGACAGAATGATTCTCAGAAACTCCTTTGCGATGTGTGCGTTCAACTCACAGAGTTTAACCTTTCTTTTCATAGAGCAGTTAGGAAACACCCTGTTTGTAAAGTCTGCAAGGGGATATACAGACCTCTTTGAGGCCTTCGTTGGAAACGGGATTTCTTCATGTTATGCTAGACAGAAGAATTCTCAGTAACTTCCTTGTGTTGTGCGTATTCAACTCACAGAGTTGAACGATCCTTTACACAGAGCAGACTTGAAACACTCTTTTTATGGAATTAGCAAGTGGAGATTTCAGCCGCTTTGAGGTCAATGGTAGAATAGGAAATATCTTCCTATAGAAACTAGACAGAATGATTCTCAGAAACTCCTTTGTGATGTGTGCGTTCAACTCACAGAGTTGAACCTTTCTTTTCATAGAGCAGTTAGGAAACACTCTGTTTGTAAAGTCTGCAAGTGGATATTCAGACCTCTTTGAGGCTTTCGTTGGAAACGGGATTTCTTCATATTCTGCTAGACAGAAGAATTCTCAGAAATTTCCTTGTGTTGTGTGTATTCAACTCACAGAGTTGAACGATCCTTTACACAGAGCAGACTTGAAACACACTTTTTTTGGAATTTTCAAGTGGAGATTTCAGCCGCTTTGAGGTCAATGGTAGAAAAGGAAATATCTTCGTATAAAGAATAGACAGAATGATTCTCAGAAACCCCTTTGTGATGTGTGCGTTCCACTCACAGAGTTTAACCTTTCTTTTCATAGAGCAGTTAGGAAACACTCTGTTTGTAAAGTCTGCAAGGGGATATTTAGACCTCTTTGAGGCCATCGTTGGAAGCGGGATTTCTTCATATTCTGCTAGACAGAAGAATTCTCAGTAACTTCTTTGTGTTGTGTGTATTCAACTCACAGAGTTGAACGATGCTTTACACAGAGCAGACTTGAAACACTCTTTTTGTGGAATTTCAAGTGGAGATTTCAGCCGCTTTCAGGTCAATGGTAGAATAGGAAATATATTCCTATAGAAACTAGACAGAATGATTCTCAGAAACTCCTTTATGATGTGTGCATTCAACTCACAGAGTTTAACCTTTCTTTTCATAGAGCAGTTAGGAAACACTCTGTTTGTAAAGTCTGCAAGTGGATATTCAGACCTCTTTGAGGCTTTCGTTGGAAACGGCATTTCTTCATATTCTGCTAGACAGAAGAATTCTCAGAAACTTCCTTGTGTTGTGTGTATTCAACTCACAGAGTTGAACGATCCTTTACACAGAGCAGACTTGAAACACTCTTTTTGTGGAATTTGTAAGTGGAGATTTCAGCCGCTTTGAAGTCAATGGTAGAAAAGGAAATATCTTCGTATAGAAACTAGAGAGAATGATTCTCAGAAACTCCTTTGTGATGTGTGCGTTCAACTCACAGAGTTTAACCTTTCTTTTCATAGAGCAGTTAGGAAACACTCTGTTTATAAAGACTGCAAGTGGATATTCAGACCCCTTTGAGGCCTTCGTTGGAAACGGGATTTCTTGATATTATGCTAGACAGAAGAATTCTCAATAACTTCCTTGTGTTGTGTGTATTCAACTCACAGAGTTGAACGATCCTTTACACAGAGCAGACTTGAAACACTCTTGTTGTGGAATTTGCAAGTGGAGATTTCAGCCGCTTTGAGGTCAATGTTAGAATAGGAAATATCTTCCTATAGAAACTAGACAGAATGATTCTCAGAAACTCCTTTGTGATGTGTGCGTTCAACTCACAGAGTTTAACCTTTCTTTTCATGGAGCAGTTAGGAAACACTCTGTTTGTAAAGTCTGCAAGGGGATATTCAGACCTCTTTGAGGCTTTCGTTGGAAACGGGATTTCTTCATATTCTGCTAGATAGAAGAATTCTCAGAAACTTCCTTGTGTTGTGTGTATTCAACTCACAGAGTTGAACGATCCTTTACACAGAGCAGACTTGAAACACACTTTTTTTGGTATTTTCAAGTGGAGATTTCAGCCACTTTGAGGTCAATGGTAGAAAAGGAAATATCTTCGTATAAATACTAGACAGAGTGATTCTCAGAAACTCCTTTGCGATGTGTGCGTTCAACTCACAGAGTTTAACCTTTCTTTTCATAGAGCAGTTAGGAAACACTCTGTTTGTAAAGTCTGCAAGGGGATATTCAGACCTCTTTGAGGCCTTCGTTGGAAACGGGATTTCTTCATGTTATGCTAGACAGAAGAATTCTCAGTAACTTCCTTGTGTTGTGTGTATTCAACTCACAGAGTTGAACGATCCTTTACACAGAGCAGACTTGAAACACTCTTTTTGTGGAATTTGCAAGTGGAGATTTCAGCCGCTTTGAGGTCAATGGTAGAATAGGAAATATCTTCCTATAGAAACTAGACAGAATGATTCTCAGAAACTCCTTTGTGATGTGTGCGTTCAACTCACAGAGTTTAACCTTTCTTTTCATAGAGCAGTTAGGAAACACGCTGTAATGTCTGCAAGTGGATATTCAGACCTCTTTGAGGCTTTCGTTGGAAACTGGATTTCTTCATATTCTGCTAGACAGAAGAATTCTCAGAAACTTCATTGTGTTGTGTGTATTGAACTCACAGAGTTGAACGATCCTTTACACAGAGCAGACTTGAAGCACTCTTTTTGTGGAATTTGCAAGTGGAGATTTCAGCCGCTTTGAGGTCAATGGTAGAAAAAGAAATATCTTCGTATAAAAATTAGACAGAATGATTCTCAGAAACTCCTTTGTGATGTTTGCGTTCAACTGACAGAGTTTAACCTTTCTTTTCATAGAGCAGTTAGGAAACACTCTGTTTGTAAAGTCTGCAAGTGGATATTCAGACCTCTTTGAGTCCTTCGTTGGAAACGGGATTTCTTCATATTCTGCTAGACAGAAGAATTCTCAGTAACTTCTTTGTGTTGTGTGTATTCAACTCACAGAGTTGAACGATCCTTTACACAGAGCAGACTTGAAACACTCTTTTTGTGGAATTTCAAGTGGAGATTTCAGCCGCTTTGAGGTCAATGGTAGAATAGGAAATATCTTCCTATAGAAACTAGACAGAATGATTCTCAGAAACTCCTTTGTGATGTGTGTGTTCAACTCACAGAGTTTAACCTTTCTTTCCATAGAGCAGTTAGGAAACACTCTGTTTGTAAAGTCTGCAAGTGGATATTCAGACCTCCTAGAGGCCTTCGTTGGAAACAGGATTTCTTCATATTATGCTAGACAGAAGAATTCTCAGTAACTTCCTTGTGTTGTGTGTATTCAACTCACAGAGTTGAACGATCCTTTACACAGAGCAGACTTGAAACACTCTTTTTGTGGAATTTGCAAGTGGAGATTTCAGCCGCTTTGAGGTCAATGGTAGAATAGGAAATATCTTCCTATAGAAACTAGACAGAATGATTCTCAGAAACTCCTTTGTGATGAGTGCGTTCAACTCACAGAGTTTAACCTTTCTTTTCATAGAGCAGTTAGGAAACATTCTGTTTGTAAAGTCTGCAAGTGGATATTCAGACCTCTTTGAGGCTTTCGTTGGAAACGGGATTTCTTCATATTCTGCTAGACAGAAGAATTCTCAGAAACTTCCTTTTGTTGTGTGTATTCAACTCACAGAGTTGAACGATCCTTTACACAGAGCAGACTTGAAACACACTTTTTTTTGTATTTTCAAGTGGAGATTTCAGCCGCTTTGAGGTCAATGGTAGAAAAGGAAATATCTTCGTATAAAGACTAGACAGAATGATTCTCAGAAACTCCTTTGTGATGTGTGCGTTCAACACACAGAGTTTAACCTTTCTTTTCATAGAGCAGTTAGGAAACACTCTGTTTGTAAAGTCTGCAAGTGGATATTCAGACCTCTTTGAGGCTTTCGTTGGAAACGGGATTTCTTCATATTCTGCTAGACAGAAGAATTCTCAGAAACTTCCTTGTGTTGTGTGTATTCAACTCACAGAGTTGAACGATCCTTTACACAGAGCAGACTTGAAACACACTTTTTTTGGAATTTTCAAGTGGAGATTTCAGCCGCTTTGAGGTCAATGGTAGAAAAGGAAATATCTTCGTATAAAGAATAGACAGAATGATTCTCAGAAACCCCTTTGTGATGTGTGCGTTCCACTCACAGAGTTTAACCTTTCTTTTCATAGAGCAGTTAGGAAACACTCTGTTTGTAAAGTCTGCAAGGGGATATTTAGACCTCTTTGAGGCCTTCGTTGGAAACGGGATTTCTTCATATTCTGCTAGACAGAAGAATTCTCAGAAACTTCCTTGTGTTGTGTGTATTCAACTCACAGAGTTGAACGATCCTTTACACAGAGCAGACTTGAAACACTCTTGTTGTGGAAATTGCAAGTGGAGATTCAGCCGCTTTGAGGTCAATGGTAGAATAGGAAATATCTTCCTATAGAAACTAGACAGAATGATTCTCAGATACTCCTTTGTGATGTGTGCGTTCAACTCACAGAGTTTAACCTTTCTTTTCATGGAGCAGTTAGGAAACACTCTGTTTGTAATGTCTGCAAGGGGATATTCAGACCTCTTTGAGGCTTTCGTTGGAAACGGGATTTCTTCATATTCTGCTAGACAGAAGAATTCTCAGAAACTTCCTTGTGTTGTGTGTATTCAACTCACAGAGTTGAACGATCCTTTACACAGAGCAGACTTGAAACACACTTTTTTTGGTATTTTCAAGTGGAGATTTCAGCCACTTTGAGGTAAATGGTAGAAAAGGAAATATCTTCGTATAAAAACTAGACAGAATGATTCTCAGAAACTCCTTTGCGATGTGTGCGTTCAACTCACAGAGTTTAACCGTTCTTTTCATAGAGCAGTTAGGAAACACTCTGTTTGTAAAGCCTGCAAGGGGATATTCAGACCTCTTTGAAGCCTTCGTTGGAAACGGGATTTCTTCATGTTATGCTAGACAGAAGAATTCTCAGTAACTTCCTTGTGTTGTGTGTATTCAACTCACAGAGTTGAACGATCCTTTACACAGAGCAGACTTGAAACACTCTTTTTGTGGAATTTGCAAGTGGAGATTTCAGCCGCTTTGAGGTCAATGGTAGAATAGGAAATATCTTCCTATAGAAACTAGACAGAATGATTCTCAGAAACTCCTTTGTGATGTGTGCGTTCAACTCACAGAGTTTAACCTTTCTTTTCATAGAGCAGTTAGGAAACACTCTGTTTGTAAAGTCTGCAAGTGGATATTCAGACCTCTTTAAGGCCTTCGTTGGAAACGGGATTTCTTCATATTCTGCTAGACAGAAGAATTCTCAGTAACTTCTTTGTGTTGTGTGTATTCAACTCACAGAGTTGAACGATCCTTTACACAGAGCAGACTTGAAACACTCTTTTTGTGGAATTTCAAGTGGAGATTTCAGCCGCTTTGAGGTCAATGGTAGAATAGGAAATATCTTCCTATAGAAACTAGACAGAATGATTCTCAGAAACTCCTTTATGATGTGTGCATTCAACTCACAGAGTTTAACCTTTCTTTTCATAGAGCAGTTAGGAACACTCTGTTTGTAAAGTCTGCAAGTGGATATTCAGACCTCTTTGAGGCTTTCGTTGG
>NC_000001.11:121768252-121776357 GCF_000001405.40 Homo sapiens
TCAACTCCGGAGTGAACGATCCTACCAGGAGCAGACTGAAACACATTTTTTTGTATTTCAAGTGAGATTCAGCCATTTGAGTAATGTAGAAAAAGAATATCTTCGTATAAAACTAGACAGATGATCTCAGAACTCCTTTGCGATGTGGCGTCAACTCACAGAGTTAACCTTTCTNNTCATAGAGCAGTAGGGAAACACTCTGTTTGTAAAGTCTGCAAGGGGATATTCAGACCTCTTTGAGGCCTTCGTTGGAAACGGGATTTCTTCATGTTATGCTAGACAGAAGAATTCTCAGTAACTTCCTTGTGTTGTGTGTATTCAACTCACAGAGTTGAACGATCCTTTACACAGAGCAGACTTGAAACACTCTGTTTGTGGAATTTGCAAGTGGAGATTTCAGCCGCTTTGAGGTCAATGGTAGAATAGGAAATATCTTCCTATAGAAACTAGACAGAATGATTCTCAGAAACTCCTTTGTGATGTGTGCGTTCAACTCACAGAGTTTAACCTTTCTTTTCATAGAGCAGTTAGGAAACACTCTGTTTGTAAAGTCTGCAAGTGGATATTCAGACCTCTTTGAGGCTTTCGTTGGAAACGGGATTTCTTCATATTCTGCTAGACAGAAGAATTCTCAGAAACTTCCTTGTGTTGTGTGTCTTCAACTCACAGAGTTGAACGATCCTTTACACATAGCAGACTTGAAACACACTTTTTTTGGTATTTTCAAGTGGAGATTTCAGCCGCTTTGAGGTCAATGGTAGAAAAGGAAATATCTTCGTATAAAGACTAGACAGAATGATTCTCAGAAACTCCTTTGTGATGTGTGCGTTCAACTCACAGAGTTTAACGTTTCTTTTCATAGAGCAGTTAGGAAACACTCTGTTTGTAAAGTCTGCAAGGGGATATTCAGACCTCTCTGAGGCCTTCGTTGGAAACGGGATTTCTTCATATTCTGCTTCACAGAAGAATTCTCAGTAACTTCCTTGTGTTGTGTGTATTCAACTCACAGAGTTGAACGATCCTTTACACAGAGCAGACTTGAAGCACTCTTTTTGTGGAATTTGCAAGTGGAGATTTCAGCCGCTTTGAGGTCAATGGTAGAAAAAGAAATATCTTCGTATAAAAACTAGACAGAATGATTCTCAGAAACTCCTTTGTGATGTTTGCGTTCAACTGACAGAGTTTAAACTTTCTTTTCATAGAGCAGTTAGGAAACACTCTGTTTGTAAAGTCTGCAAGTGGATATTCAGACCTCTTTGAGGCCTTCGTTGGAAACAGGATTTCTTCATATTATGCTAGACAGAAGAATTCTCAGTAACTTCTTTGTGTTGTGTGTATTCAACTCACAGAGGTGAACGATCCTTTACACAGAGCAGACTTGAAACACTCTTTTTGTGGAATTTCAAGTGGAGATTTCAGCCGCTTTGAGGTCAATGGTAGAATAGGAAATATCTTCCTATAGAAACTAGACAGAATGATTCTCAGAAACTCCTTTGTGATGTGTGCGTTCAACTCACAGAGTTTAACCTTTCTCTCCATTGAGCAGTTAGGAAACACTCTGTTTGTAAAGTCTGCAAGTGGATATTCAGACCTCCTAGAGGCCTTCTTTGGAAACAGGCTTTCTTCATATTATGCTAGACAGAAGAATTCTCAGTAACTTCCTTGTGTTGTGTGTATTCAACTCACAGAGTTGAACGATCCTTTACACAGAGCAGACTTGAAACACTCTTGTTGTGGAATTTGCAAGTGGAGATTTCAGCCGCTTTGAGGTCAATGGTAGAAAAGGAAATATATTCGTATAAAGACTAGACAGAATGATTCTCAGAAACTCCTTTGTGATGTGTGCGTTCAACTCACACAGTTTAACCTTTCTTTCCATAGAGCAGTTAGGAAACACTCTGTTTGTAAAGTCTGCAAGTGGATATTCAGACCTCCTAGAGGCCTTCGTTGGAAACAGGATTTCTTCATATTATGCTAGACAGAAGAATTCTCAGTAACTTCCTTGTGTTGTGTGTATTCAACTCACAGAGTTGAACGATCCTTTACACAGAGCAGACTTGAAACACTCTTTTTGTGGAATTTGCAAGTGGAGATTTCAGCCGCTATGAGGTCAATGGTAGAATAGGAAATATCTTCCTATAGAAACTAGACAGAATGATTCTCAGAAACTCCTTTGTGATGAGTGCGTTCAACTCACAGAGTTTAACCTTTCTTTTCATAGAGCAGTTAGGAAACATTCTGTTTGTAAAGTCTGCAAGTGGATATTCAGACCTCTTTGAGGCTTTCGTTGGAAACGGGATTTCTTCATATTCTGCTAGACAGAAGAATTCTCAGAAACTTCCTTGTGTTGTGTGTATTCAACTCACAGAGTTGAACGATCCTTTACACAGAGCAGACTTGAAACACACTTTTTTTGGTATTTTCAAGTGGAGATTTCAGCAGCTTTGAGTTCAATGGTAGTAAAGGAAATATCTTCGTATAAAGACTAGACAGAATGATTCTCAGAAACTCCTTTGTGATGTGTGCGTTCAACACACAGAGTTTAACCTTTCTTTTCATAGAGCAGTTAGGAAACACTCTGTTTGTAAAGTCTGCAAGTGGATATTCAGACCTCTTTGAGGCTTTCGTTGGAAACGGGATTTCTTCATATTCTGCTAGACAGAAGAATTCTCAGAAACTTCCTTGTGTTGTGTGTATTCAACTCACAGAGTTGAACGATCCTTTACACAGAGCAGACTTGAAACACACTTTTTTTGGAATTTTCAAGTGGAGATTTCAGCCGCTTTGAGGTCAATGGTAGAAAAGGAAATATCTTCGTATAAAGAATAGACAGAATGATTCTCAGAAACCCCTTTGTGATGTGTGCGTTCCACTCACAGAGTTTAACCTTTCTTTTCATAGAGCAGTTAGGAAACACTCTGTTTGTAAAGTCTGCAAGGGGATATTTAGACCTCTTTGAGGCCTTCGTTGGAAACGGGATTTCTTCATATTCTGCTAGACAGAAGAATTCTCAGTAACTTCTTTGTGTTGTGTGTATTCAACTCACAGAGTTGAACGATCCTTTACACAGAGCAGACTTGAAACACTCTTTTTGTGGAATTTCAAGTGGAGATTTCAGCCGCTTTGAGGTCAATGGTAGAATAGGAAATATCTTCCTATAGAAACTAGACAGAATGATTCTCAGAAACTCCTTTATGATGTGTGCATTCAACTCACAGAGTTTAACCTTTCTTTTCATAGAGCAGTTAGGAAACACTCTGTTTGTAAAGTCTGCAAGTGGATATTCAGACCTCTTTGAGGCTTTCGTTGGAAACGGGATTTCTTCATATTCTGCTAGACAGAAGAATTCTCAGAAACTTCCTTGTGTTGTGTGTATTCAACTCACAGAGTTGAACGATCCTTTACACAGAGCAGACTTGAAACACTCTTTTTGTGGAATTTGCAAGTGGAGATTTCAGCCGCTTTGAGGTCAATGGTAGAATAGGAAATATCTTCCTATAGAAACTAGACAGAATGATTCTCAGAAACTCCTTTGTGATGTGTGCGTTCAACTCACAGAGTTTAACCTTTCTTTTCATAGAGCAGTTAGGAAACACTCTGTTTGTAAAGTCTGCAAGTGGATATTCAGACCTCTTTAAGGCCTTCGTTGGAAACGGGATTTCTTCATATTCTGCTAGACAGAAGAATTCTCAGTAACTTCTTTGTGTTGTGTGTATTCAACTCACAGAGTTGAACGATCCTTTACACAGAGCAGACTTGAAACACTCTTTTTGTGGAATTTCAAGTGGAGATTTCAGCCGCTTTGAGGTCAATGGTAGAATAGGAAATATCTTCCTATAGAAACTAGACAGAATGATTCTCAGAAACTCCTTTATGATGTGTGCATTCAACTCACAGAGTTTAACCTTTCTTTTCATAGAGCAGTTAGGAAACACTCTGTTTGTAAAGTCTGCAAGTGGATATTCAGACCTCTTTGAGGCTTTCGTTGGAAACGGGATTTCTTCATATTCTGCTAGACAGAAGAATTCTCAGAAACTTCCTTGTGTTGTGTGTATTCAACTCACAGAGTAGAACGATCCTTTACACAGAGCAGACTTGAAACACTCTTTTTGTGGAATTTGCAAGTGGAGATTTCAGCCGATTTGAAGTCAATGGTAGAAAGGGAAATATCTTCGTATAGAGACTAGACAGAATGATTCTCAGAAACTCCTTTGTGATGTGTGCGTTCAACTCACAGAGTTTAACCTTTCTTTTCATAGAGCAGTTAGCAAACACTCTGTTTATAAAGTCTGCAAGTGGATATTCAGACCTCTTTGAGGCCTTCGTTGGAAACGGGATTTCTTGATACTATGCTAGACAGAAGAATTCTCAATAACTTCCTTGTGTTGTGTGTATTCAACTCACAGAGTTGAACGATCCTTTACACAGAGCAGACTTGAAACACTCTTGTTGTGGAATTTGCAAGTGGAGATTTCAGCCTCTTTGAGGTCAATGGTAGAATAGGAAATATCTTCCTATAGAAACTAGACAGAATGATTCTCAGAAACTCCTTTGTGATGTGTGTGTTCAACTCACAGAGTTTAACCTTTCTTTTCATGGAGCAGTTAGGAAACACTCTGTTTGTAAAGTCTGCAAGGGGATATTCAGACCTCTTTGAGGATTTCGTTGGAAACGGGATTTCTTCATATTCTGCTAGACAGAAGAATTCTCAGAAACTTCCTTGTGTTGTGTGTATTCAACTCACAGAGTTGAACGATCCTTTACACAGAGCAGACTTGAAACACACTTTTTTTGGTATTTTCAAGTGGAGATTTCAGCCAATTTGAGGTAAATGGTAGAAAAGGAAATATCTTCGTATAAAAACTAGACAGAATGATTCTCAGAAACTCCTTTGCGATGTGTGCGTTCAACTCACAGAGTTTAACCTTTCTTTTCATAGAGCAGTTAGGAAACACGCTGTTTGTAAAGTCTGCAAGGGGATATTCAGACCTCTTTGAGGCCTTCGTTGGAAACGGGATTTCTTCATGTTATGCTAGACAGAAGAATTCTCAGTAACTTCCTTGTGTTGTGTGTATTCAACTCACAGAGTTGAACGATCCTTTACACAGAGCAGACTTGAAACACTCTTTTTGTGGAATTTGCAAGTGGAGATTTCAGCCGCTTTGAGGTCAATGGTAGAATACGAAATATCTTCCTATAGAAACTAGACAGAATGATTCTCAGAAACTCCTTTGTGATGTGTGCGTTCAACTCACAGAGTTTAACCTTTCTTTTCATAGAGCAGTTAGGAAACACTCTGTTTGTAAAGTCTGCAAGTGGATATTCAGACCTCTTTGAGGCTTTCGTTGGAAACGGGATTTCTTCATATTCTGCTAGACAGAAGAATTCTCAGAAACTTCCTTGTGTTGTGTGTATTCAACTCACAGAGTTGAACGATCCTTTACACATAGCAGACTTGAAACACACTTTTTTTGGTATTTTCAAGTGGAGATTTCAGCCGCTTTGAGGTCAATGGTAGAAAAGGAAATATCTTCGTATAAAGAATAGACAGAATGATTCTCAGAAACCCCTTTGTGATGTGTGCGTTCAACTCACAGAGTTTAACCTTTCTTTTCATAGAGCAGTTAGGAAACACTCTGTTTGTAAAGTCTGCAAGGGGATATTTAGACCTCTTTGAGGCCTTCGTTGGAAATGGGATTTCTTCATATTCTGCTAGACAGAAGAATTCTCAGTAACTTCTTTGTGTTGTGTGTATTCAACTCACAGAGTTGAACGATCCTTTACACAGAGCAGACTTGAAACACTCTTTTTGTGGAATTTCAAGTGGAGATTTCAGCCGCTTTGAGGTCAATGGTAGAATAGGAAATATCTTCCTATAGAAACTAGACAGAATGATTCTCAGAAACTCCTTTATGATGTGTGCATTCAACTCACAGAGTTTAACCTTTCTTTTCATAGAGCAGTTAGGAAACACTCTGTTTGTAAAGTCTGCAAGTGGATATTCAGACCTCTTTGAGGCTTTCGTTGGAAACGGGATTTCTTCATATTCTGCTAGACAGAAGAATTCTCAGAAACTTCCTTGTGTTGTGTGTATTCAACTGACAGAGTTGAACTTTCATTTAGAGAGAGCAGATTTGAAACACTGTTTTTGTGGAATTTGCAAGTGGAGATTTCAAGCGCTTTGGGGCCAAAGGCAGAAAAGGAAATATCTTCGTATAAAAACTAGACAGAATCATTCTAAGAAACTGCTGCGTGATGTGTGCGTTCAACTCTCAGAGTTTAACTTTTCTTTTCATTCAGCGGTTTGGAAACACTCTGTTTGTAAAGTCTGCACGTGGATATTTTGACCACTTAGAGGCCTTCGTTGGAAACGGGTTTTTTTCATGTAAGGCTAGACAGAAGAATTCCCAGTAACTTCCTTGTGTTGTGTGCATTCAACTCACAGATTTGAACGTTCCCTTAGACAGAGCAGATTTGAAACACTCTATTTGTGCAATTGGCAAGTGCAGATTTCAAGCGCTTTAAGGTCAATGGCAGAAAAGGAAATATCTTCGTTTCAAAACTAGACAGAATCATTCCCACAAACTGCGTTGTGATGTGTTCGTTCAACTCACAGAGTTTAACCTTTCTGTTCATAGAGCAGTTAGGAAACACTCTGTTTGTAAAGTCTGTAAGTGGATATTCTGACATCTTGTGGCCTTCGTTGGAAACGGGATTTCTTCATATTCTGCTAGACAGAAGAATTCTCAGTAACTTCCTTCTGTTGTGTGTATTCAACTCACAGAGTTGAAAGATCCTTTACACAGAGCAGACTTGAAACACTCTTTTTGTGGAATTTGCAAGTGGAGATTTCAGCCGCTTTGAGGTCAATGGTAGAAAAGGAAATATCTTCGTATAAAGACTAGACAGAATGATTCTCAGAAACTCCTTTGTGATGTGTGCGTTCAACTCACAGAGTTTAACCTTTCTTTTCATAGAGCAGTTAGGAAACACTCTGTTTGTAAAGTCTGCAAGTGGATATTTAGACCTCTCTGAGGCCTTCGTTGGAAACGGGATTTCTTCATATTCTGCTAGACAGAAGAATTCTCAGTAACTTCCTTGTGTTGTGTGTATTCAACTCACAGAGTTGAACGATCCTTTACACAGAGCAGACTTGAAACACTCTTTTTGTGGAATTTGCAAGTGGAGATTTCAGCCGCTTTGAGGTCAATAGTAGAAAAGGAAATATCTTCGTAGAAAAACTAGACAGAATGATTCTCAGAATCTCCTTTGTGATGTGTGTGTTCAACTCACAGAGTTTAACCTTTCTTTTCATAGAGCAGTTAGTAAACACTCTGTTTATAAAGTCTGCAAGTCGATATTCAGACCCCTTTGAGGCCTTCGTTGGAAACGGGATTTCTTCATATTATGCTAGACAGAAGAATTCTCAGGAACTTCCTTGTGTTGTGTGTATTCAACTGACAGAGTTGAACTTTCATTTAGAGAGAGCAGATTTGAAACACTGTTTTTGTGGAATTTGCAAGTGGAGATTCCAAGCGCTTTGGGGCCAAAGGCAGAAAAGGAAATATCTTCGTAGAAAAACTAGACAGAATCATTCTCAGAAACTGCTGCGTGATGTGTGCGTTCAACTCTCACAGTTTAACTTTTCTTTTCATTCAGCGGTTTGGAAACACTCTGTTTGTAAAGTCTGCACGTGGATATTTTGACCACTTAGAGTCCTTCGTTGGAAACGGGTTTTTTTCATGTAAGGCTAGACAGAAGAATTCCCAGTAACTTCCTTGTGTTGTGTGCATTCAACTCACAGAGTTGAACGTTCCCTTAGACAGAGCAGATTTGAAACACTCTATTTGTGCTATTTGCAAGTGTAGATTTCAAGCGCTTTAATGTCAATGGCAGAAAAGGAAATATCTTCGTTTCAAAACTAGACAGAATCATTCCCACAAACTGCGTTGTGATGTGTTCGTTCAACTCACAGAGTTTAACCTTTCTGTTCATAGAGCAGTTAGGAAACACTCTGTTTGTAAAGTCTGTAAGTGGATATTCTGACATCTTGTGGCCTTCGTTGGAAACGGGATTTCTTCATATTCTGCTAGACAGAAGAATTC
>NC_000001.11:121776457-121778965 GCF_000001405.40 Homo sapiens
TGAGAGAGATATTTCCTTTTCCCCCCATGCCTCGAAGCCCTCCAAATGTCCCCTTGCAGATGCTAGAAAGAGGGGGTTTCAAAGCTGCTCTATGAAAAGGAAAGTACAACTCTGTGAGTTGAATGCAAACATCACAAGGAAGTTCCTGAGCATGCTTCCGTTTAGTTTTTACGGGAAGATTATCCCGTTTTCCATCGAAATGTTCAAAGAGGTCCACATATCCGCTTGCAGATTCCACCGAAAGGGTGTTTCCAAACTGCTGCATCCAAACGAATCCTCAGCTCCGTGAGTTGAAGGCAATCATCACCAAGAAGTTTCTGACAATGCTTCTCTCTAGCTTTTATGTGAAGATATTTCCTTTTCCACCGCAGGCCTGAAAGCGCTCCAAATGTCCACTTGGAGGCTCTACGAAAAGAATGTTTCAAAACTGCTCTATGAAAAGCAATGTTATACTCTGGCAGTTGAACACAAGCCTCACAAAGGAGTTTCTGAGAATGCTTCTGTTTACTTTTTACGTGAGGATATTCCCGTTTCCAAAGAAGTCTTCACAGAGTTCCACCTATCCATTTGCAGATGCTAGCAAAAGAGAGTTTCAAAACTGCTCCATCAAAAGGAATGTTCAACTCTGTGAGTTGCATGCAATCATCACAGAGAAGTTTCTGAGAAGACTTCTGTCTAGATTTTACGTGAAGATATAGCCGTTTCGAACGAAGGCCACAAAGTGCTCCAAATATCCACTTGCAGGTCCTCCAAAAAGAGTGTTTCAAACGTGAACTACCAAAGGAAGGCTCAACTCTGGACTTTGAATGCCAACGTCAGAAGGATGTTTCTGCGAAAGCTTCTGTTTAGTTAGGTGACGTTATCCCGTTTCCAACGAAATCCTCAGAGAGGTCCAAATATCCACCTGCAGAGTCTACAAAAAGTGTGTTTCAAAACTGCTCCACCCAAAGGAATGTTCAGCTCTGTGAGTTGAACTCAATCATCCCAAAGTATTTTCTGAGAATGGTTCTGTCCAGTTTTTACATGAAGCTGTTTCCTTTACTACCGTAGGCCTCAAAGCGTTCCAAACCTCCACTTGCAGATACTACAAAAAGAGCGTTTCAACCTGAACTCACAAGGGAAGGTTCAACTCTGTCAGTTGAATGCCAACATCACCAAGAACTTCTGAGAATGTTCCTCTTAAGTTATGTGAGGTTTATCCCGTTTCCCACGAAATTCTCAGAGAAGTCCCAAAATCCACTTGCATATTCCACAAAAGGTGTGTTTGGAAAATGCGCCATCAAAAGATATGCTCAGCTCTATGAGTTAAACTCAAGCATCGCAAAGAATTTTCTGAGAATGCTTCCGTCTTGTTTTTAGATGAAGTTATTTCCTTTACTACGATAGGCCTCAAAGAGGTCCAAACCTCCACTTGCAGATTCTGCAGAAGGAGTGTTTCAAACCTGAACTGTCAGAGAAAGGTTCAACACTGTGAGTTGAATGCAAGCATCACGAAGAAGGTTCTGAGAATGCTTCTGTTTACGTAGGTGACTTTTCTGCCGTATCCAGCGAAATCATCAGAGCGGTCCAAATCTCCACTTGCAGATTCTACACAAAGTGTGTTTGCAAACTGCTCCACCCAAAGGAATGTTCAGCTCTGTGAGTTGAACTCAATGGTCACAAAGCGTTTCCTGGGAATTCTCCTGTCTCGCTTTTATGTGCAGTTATATCCTCTACTGCCATAGGCCTCAAAGCGGTCCAAATCTCCCCTTTCAGATTCTACCAAAGGTGTGTTTCCAAACGGCTCCATCAAAGGGGATGTTCTACTCGGTGACTTGAATGCAATCATCACAAAGCAGCTTCTGAGAATGCTTCCATGTAGCTTTGATGAGAAGATATTTCCTTTTCCACCCCAGGCCTCGAAGCCGTCCAAATGTCCCCTTGCCGATGCTAGAAAGAGGGGGTTTCAAAGCTGCTCTATCAAACGGAAAGTACAACTCTGTGAGTTGAATGCAAACATCACAAGGAAGTTCCTGAGCATGCTTCCGTTTAGCTTTTACGGGAAGATTATCCCTTTTCCATCGAAATGTTCAAAGAGGTCCACATATCCGCTTGCAGATTCCACCGAAAGAGTGTTTCCAAACTGCTGCATCCAAAGGAATCCTCAGCTCCGTGAGTTGAAGGCAATCATCACCAAGAAGTTTCTGACAATGCTTCTCTCTAGCTTTTATGTGAAGATATTTCCTTTTTCACCGCAGGCCTGAAAGCGCTCCAATGTCCACTTGGAGGCTCTACGAAAAGAATGTTTCAAACTGCTCTATGAGAAGCATGTATACTCTGGGAGTTGAACACAGCTCCCAAAGGAGTTTCTGAGAATGCTCTGTTACTTTTTAGTGAGGAAATCCCGTTTCCAAAAAGTCTTCAAAAAGTCACCTTATCCTTTGCCGAAGCTAGCAAAGAAGAGTTTCAAACTGCCCCTCCAAGGAATGTTCACTTTGGGAGTGCTGCAATCTTCCAGAAAATTTCTGA
>NC_000001.11:121779065-121781090 GCF_000001405.40 Homo sapiens
GAAGTCCCAAAATCCCTTGCTATTCCACAAAAGTTGGTTTTGAAAATGGTCCATCAAAAAGATTTGCTCAGCTCGTGGATTAAACTCCATCCATGGCAAAGGATTTTCTGAGAAATGCTCCGTTCTGGTTTTAGAAGAAAGTCCTTTCCTTTAACTACGAATAGCCTTCAAAGAGGTCCAAATCCTCCACTTTGCAGATTCTGCAGAAGGAGTGTTTCAAACTTGAACTGTCAGAGAAAGGTTCACACTGTGAGTTGAATGCAAGCATCACGAAGAAGAGTCTGAGAATGCTTCTGTTTACGTAGTTGACTTTTCTCCCGTATCCAGCGAAATCCTCAGAGAGGTCCAAATCTCCACTTGCAGATTCTACACGAAGTGTGTTTGGAAACTGCTCCACCCAAAGGAATGATCAGCTCTGTGAGTTGAACTCAATGGTCACAAAGCGTTTCCTGGGAATGCTCCTGTCTCGCTTTTATGTGCGGTTATATCCTCTACTGCCATAGGCCTCAAAGCGGTCCAAATCTCCCCTTTCAGATTCTCCCAGAAGTGTGTTTCCAAACGGCCCCATCAAAGGGGATGTTCAACTCGGTGACTTGAATGCAATCATCACAAAGCAGCTTCTGAGAATGCTTCCATGTAGCTTTGATGAGAAGATATTTTCTTTTCCACCCCAGGCCTCGAAGCCCTCCAAATGTCCCCTTGCCGATGCTAGAAAGAGGGGGTTTCAAAGCTGCTCTATCAAAAGGAAAGTACAACTCTGTGAGTTGAATGCAAACATCACAAGGAAGTTCCTGAGCATGCTTCCGTTTAGCTTTTACGGGAAGATTATCCCTTTTCCATCGAAATGTTCAAAGAGGTCCACATATCCGCTTGCAGATTCCAGCGAAAGAGTGTTTCCAAACTGCTGCATCCAAAGGAATCCTCAGCTCCGTGAGTTGAATGCAATCATCACCAAGAAGTTTCTGACAATGCTTCTCTCTAGCTTTTATGTGAAGATATTTCCTTTTCCACCGCAGGCCTGAAAGCGCTCCAAATGTCCACTTGGAGGCTCTACGAAAAGAATGTTTCAAAACTGCTCTATGAAAAGCAATGTTATACTCTGGGAGTTGAACACAAGACTCACAAAGGAGTATCTGAGAATGCTTCTGTTTACTTTTTACGTGAGGATATTCCCGTTTCCAAAGAAGTCTTCACAGAGTTCCACCTATCCATTTGCAGATGCTAGCAAAAGAGAGTTTCAAAACTGCTCCATCAAAAGGAATGTTCAACTCTGTGAGTTGCATGCAATCATCACAGAGAAGTTTCTGAGAAGGCTTCTGTCTAGATTTTACGTGAAGATATAGCCGTTTCGAACGAAGGCCACAAAGTGCTCCAAATATCCACTTGCAGGTCCTCCAAAAAGAGTGTTTCAAACGTGAACTACCAAAGGAAGGCTCAACTCTGGACTTTGAAGGCCAACGTCAGAAGGATGTTTCTGCGAAAGCTTCTGTTTAGTTAGGTGACGTTATCCCGTTTCCAACGAAATCCTCAGAGAGGTCCAAATATCCACCTGCGGAGTCTACAAAAAGTGTGTTTCCAAACTGCTCCACCCAAAGGAATGTTCAGCTCTGTGAGTTGAACTCAATCGTCCCAAAGTATTTTCTGAGAATGCTTCTGTCCAGTTTTTACATGAAGCTGTTTCCTTTACTACCGTAGGCCTCAAAGCGTTCCAAACCTCCACTTGCAGATCCTACGGAAAGAGCGTTTCAACCTGAACTCACAAGGGAAGGTTCAACTCTGTCAGTTGAATGCCAACATCATCAAGAAGTTCTGAGAATGTTCCTCTTCAGTTATGGGATGTTTATCCCGTTTCCCACGAAATTCTCAGAGAAGTCCCAAAATCCACTTGCATATTCCACAAAAGGTGTGTTTGGAAAATGCGCCATCAAAAGATATGCTCAGCTCTGTGAGTTAAACTCAATCATCGCAAAGAATTTTCTGAGAATGCTTCCGTCTTGTTTTTAGATGAAGTTCTTTCCTTTACTA
>NC_000001.11:121781190-121792611 GCF_000001405.40 Homo sapiens
TCTCTCTAGTTTTTATGTGAAGATATTTCCTGTTCCACCACAGGCCTGAAAGCGCTCCAAATGTCCACTTGGAGGCTCTACGAAAAGAATGTTTCAAAACTGCTCTATGAAAAGCAATGTTATACTCTGGGAGTTGAACACAAGCCTCACAAAGGAGTTTCTGAGAATGCTTCTGTTTACTTTTTACGTGAGGATATTCCCGTTTCCAAAGAAGTCTTCACAGAGTTCCACCTATCCATTTGCAGATGCTAGCAAAACTAGAGAGTTTCAAAACTGCTCTATCAAAAGGAATGTTCAACTCTGTGAGTTGCATGCAATCATCACAGAGAGGTTTCTGAGAAGGCTTCTGTCTAGATTTTATGTGAAGATATAGCCGTTTCGAACGAAGGCCACAAAGTGCTCCAAATATCCACTGGCAGGTCCTCCAAAAAGAGTGTTTCAAACGTGAACTACCAAAGGAAGGCTCAACTCTGGACTTTGAATGCCAACGTCAGAAAGATGTTTCTGCGAAAGCTTCTGTTTAGTTAGGTGACGTTATCCCGCTTCCAACGAAATCCTCAGAGAGGTCCAAATATTCACCTGCAGAGTCTCCAAAAGTGTGTTTCAAAACTGCTCCACCCAAAGGAATGTTCAGCTCTGTGAGTTGAACTCAATCATCCCAAAGTATTTTCTGAGAATGCTTCTGTCCAGTTTTTACATGAAGCTGTTTCCTTTACTACCGTAGGCCTCAAAGCGTTCCAAACCTCCACTTGCAGATCCTACGGAAAGAGCGTTTCAACCTGAACTCACAAGGGAAGGTTCAACTCTGTCAGTTGAATGCCAACATCATCAAGAAGTTCTGAGAATGTTCCTCTTCAGTTATGGGATGTTTATCCCGTTTCCCACGAAATTCTCAGAGAAGTCCCAAAATCCACTTGCATATTCCACAAAAGGTGTGTTTGGAAAATGCGCCATCAAAAGATATGCTCAGCTCTGTGAGTTAAACTCAATCATCGCAAAGAATTTTCTGAGAATGCTTCCGTCTTGTTTTTAGATGAAGTTCTTTCCTTTACTACGATAGGCCTCAAAGAGGTCCAAATCTCCACTTGCAGATTCTGCAGAAGGAGTGTTTCAAACCTGAACTGTCAGAGAAAGGTTCAACACTGTGAGTTGAATGCAAGCATCACGAAGAAGGTTCTGACAATGCTTCTGTTTACATAGGTGACTTTTCTCCCGTATCCAGCGAAATCCTCAGAGCGGTCCNAATCTCCACTTGCAGATCTACACAAAGTGTGTATGGAACTGCTCCACCCAAGGAATGTTCAGCTCTGTGAGTTGAACTCATGGTCACAAAGCGTTTCCTGGGAATGCTCCTGTCTCGCTTTTATGTGCAGTTATATCCTCTACTGCCATAGGCCTCAAAGCGGTCCAAATCTCCCCTTTCAGATTCTACCAGAAGTGTGTTTCCAAATGGCCCCATCAAAGGGGATGTTCAACTCAGTGACTTGAATGCAATCATCACAAAGCAGCTTCTGAGAATGCTTCCATGTAGCTTTGATGAGAAGATATTTCCTTTTCCACCCCAGGCCTCGAAGCCCTCCAAATGTCCCCTTGCCGATGCTAGAAAGAGGGGGTTTCAAAGCTGCTCTATCAAAAGGAAAGTACAACTCTGTGAGTTGAATGCAAACATCACAAGGAAGTTCCTGAGCATGCTTCCGTTTAGCTTTTACGGGAAGATTATCCCTTTTCCATCGAAATGTTCAAAGAGGTCCACATATCCGCTTGCAGATTCCACACAAAGAGTGTTTCCAAACTGCTGCATCCAAAGGAATCCTCAGCTCCGTGAGTTGAAGGCAATCATCACCAAGAAGTTTCTGACAATGCTTCCCTCTAGCTTTTATGTGAAGATATTTCCTTTTCCACCGCAGGCCTGAAAGCGCTCCAAATGTCCACTTGGAGGCTCTACGAAAAGAATGTTTCAAAACTGCTCTATGAAAAGCAATGTTATACTCTGGGAGTTGAACACAAGCCTCAGAAAGGAGTTTCTGAGAATGCTTCTGTTTACTTTTTACTTGAGGATATTCCCGTTTCCAAAGAAGACTTCACAGAGTTCCACCTATCCATTTGCAGATGCTAGCAAAAGAGAGTTTCAAAACTGCTCCATCAAAAGGAATGTTCAACTCTGTGAGTTGCATGCAATCATCACAGAGAAGTTTCTGAGAAGGCTTCTGTCTAGATTTTACGTGAGAGATAGCCGTTTCGAACGAAGGCCACAAAGTGCTCCAAATATCCACTTGCAGGTCCTCCAAAAAGAGTGTTTCAAACGTGAACTACCAAAGGAAGGCTCAACTCTGGACTTTGAAGGCCAACGTCAGAAGGATGTTTCTGCGAAAGCTTCAGTTTAGTTAGGTGACGTTATCCCGTTTCCAACGAAATCCTCAGAGAGGTCCAAATATCCACCTGCGGAGTCTACAAAAAGTGTGTTTCCAAACTGCTCCACCCAAAGGAATGTTCAGCTCTGTGAGTTGAACTCAATCGTCCCAAAGTATTTTCTGAGAATGCTTCTGTCCAGTTTTTACATGAAGCTGTTTCCTTTACTACCGTAGGCCTCAAAGCGTTCCAAACCTCCACTTGCAGATCCTACGAAAAGAGCGTTTCAACCTGAACTCACAAGGGAAGGTTCAACTCTGTCAGTTGAATGCCAACATCACCAAGAAGTTCTGAGAATGTTCCTCTTCAGTTATGTGAGGTTTATCCCGTTTCCCACGAAATTCTCAGAGAAGTCCCAAAATCCACTTGCATATTCCACAAAAGGTGTGTTTGGAAAATGCCCCATCAAAAGATATGCTCAGCTCTGTGAGTTAAACTCAATCATCGCAAAGAATTTTCTGAGAATGCTTCCGCCTTGTTTTTAGATGAAGTACTTTCCTTTACTACGATAGGCCTCAAAGAGGTCCAAATCTCCACTTGCAGATTCTGCAGAAGGAGTGTTTCAAACCTGAACTGTCAGAGAAAGTTTCAACACTGTGAGTTGAATGCAAGCATCACGAAGAAGGTTCTGAGAATGCTTCTGTTTACGTAGGTGACTTTTCTCCCGTATCCAGCGAAATCCTCAGAGCGGTCCAAATCTCCACTTGCAGATTCTACACAAAGTGTGTTTGGAAACTGCTCCACCCAAAGGAATGTTCAGCTCTGTGAGTTGAACTCAATGGTCACAAAGCGTTTCCTGGGAATGCTCCTGTCTCGCTTTTATGTGCGGTTATATCCTCTACTGCCATAGGCCTCAAAGAGGTCCAAATCTCCCCTTTCAGATTCTCCCAGAAGTGTGTTTCCAAACGGCCCCATCAAAGGGGATGTTCAACTCGGTGACTTGAATGCAATCATCACAAAGCAGCTTCTGAGAATGCTTCCATGTAGCTTTGATGAGAAGATATTTCCTTTTCCACCCCAGGCCTCGAAGCCCTCCAAATGTCCCCTTGCAGATGCTAGAAAGAGGGGGTTTCAAAGCTGCTCTATCAAAAGGAAAGTACAACTCTGTGAGTTGAATGCAAACATCACAAGGAAGTTCCTGAGCATGCTTCCGTTTAGCTTTTACGGGAAGATTATCCCTTTTCCATCGAAATGTTCAAAGAGGTCCACATATCCGCTTGCAGATTCCACCGAAAGAGTGTTTCCAAACTGCTGCATCCAAAGGAATCCTCAGCTCCGTGAGTTGAATGCAATCATCACCAAGAAGTTTCTGACAATGCTTCTCTCTAGTTTTTATGTGAAGATATTTCCTTTTCCACCGCAGGCCTGAAAGCGCTCCAAATGTCCACTTGGAGGCTCTACGAAAAGAATGTTTCAAAACTGCTCTATGAAAAGCAATGTTATACTCTGGGAGTTGAACACAAGCCTCACAAAGGAGTTTCTGAGAATGCTTCTGTTTACTTTTTACGTGAGGATATTCCCGTTTCCAAAGAAGTCTTCACAGAGTTCCACCTATCCATTTGCAGATGCTAGCAAAAGAGAGTTTCAAAACTGCTCCATCAAAAGGAATGTTCAACTCTGTGAGTTGCATGCAATCATCACAGAGAAGTTTCTGAGAAGGCTTCTGTCTAGATTTTACGTGAAGATATAGCCGTTTCGAACAAAGGCCACAAAGTGCTCCAAATATCCACTTGCAGGTCCTCCAAAAAGAGTGTTTCAAACGTGAACTACCAAAGGAAGGCTCAACTCTGGACTTTGAAGGCCAACGTCAGAAGGATGTTTCTGCGAAAGCTTCTGTTTAGTTAGGTGACGTTATCCCGTTTCCAACGAAATCCTCAGAGAGGTCCAAATATCCACCTGCGGAGTCTACAAAAAGTGTGTTTCAAAACTGCTCCACCCAAAGGAATGTTCAGCTCTGTGAGTTGAACTCAATCGTCCCGAAGTATTTTCTGAGAATGCTTCTGCCCAGTTTTTACGTGAAGCTCTTTCCTTTACTACCATAGGCCTCAAACGTTCCAAACCTCCACTTGCATATACTACGAAAAGAGCGTTTCAACCTGAACTCACAAGGGAAGGTTCAACTCTGTCAGTTGAATGCCAACATCACCAAGAACTTCTGAGAATGTTCCTCTTCAGTTATGTGAGGTTTATCCCGTTTCCCACGAAATTCTCAGAGAAGTCCCAAAATCCACTTGCATATTCTACAAAAGGTGTGTTTGGAAAATGCGCCATCAAAAGATATGCTCAGCTCTGTGAGTTAAACTCAATCATCGCAAAGAATTTTCTGAGAATGCTTCTGTCTTGTTTTTAGATGAAGTTCTTTCCTTTACTACGATAGTCCTCAAAGAGGTCCAAATCTCCACTTGCAGATTCTGCAGAAGGAGTGTTTCAAACCTGACAGTCAGAGAAAGGTTCTACACTGTGAGTTGAATGCAAGCATCACGAAGAAGGTTCTGAGAATGCTTCTGTTTACGTAGGTGAGTTTTCTCCCGTATCCAACGAAATCCTCAGAGCGGTCCAAATCTCCACTTGCAGATTCTACACAAGGTGTGTTTGGAAACTGCTCCACCCAAAGGAATGTTCACGTCTGTGAGTTGAACTCAATGGTCACAAAGCGTTTCCTGGGAATGCTCCTGTCTCGCTTTTATGTGCAGTTATATCCTCTACTGCCATAGGCCTCAAAGCGGTCCAAATCTCCCCTTTCAGATTCTACCAAAAGTGTGTTTCCAAACGGCTCCATCAAAGGGAATGTTCAACTCTGTGACTTCAATGCAATCATCACAAAGCAGCTTCAGAGAATGCTTCCATGTAGCTTTGATGAGAAGATATTTCCTTTTCCACCCCAGGCCTCGAAGCCCTCCAAATGTCCCCTTGCAGATGCTAGAAAGAGGGGGTTTCAAAGCTGCTCTATCAAAAGGAAAGTACAACTCTGTGAGTTGAATGCAAACATCACAAGGAAGTTCCTGAGCATGCTTCCGTTTAGCTTTTACGGGAAGATTGTCCCTTTTCCATCGAAATGTTCAAAGAGGTCCACATATCCGCTTGCAGATTCCACCGAAAGAGTGTTTCCAAACTGCTGCATCCAAAGGAATCCTCAGCTCCGTGAGTTGAGTGCAATCATCGCCAAGAAGTTTCTGACAATGCGTCTCTCTAGTTTTTATGTGAAGATATTTCCTGTTCCACCACAGGCCTGAAAGCGCTCCAAATGTCCACTTGGAGGCTCTACGAAAAGAATGTTTCTAAACTGCTCTATGAAAAGCAATGTTATACTCTGGGAGTTGAACACAAGCCTCACAAAGGAGTTTCTGAGAATGCTTCTGTTTACTTTTTACGTGAGGATATTCCCGTTTCAAAAGAAGTCTTCACAGAGTTCCACCTATCCATTTGCAGATGCTAGCAAAAGAGAGTTTCAAAACTGCTCTATCAAAAGGAACGTTCAACTCTGTGAGTTGCATGCAATCATCACAGAGAAGTTTCTGAGAAGGCTTCTGTCTAGATTTTATGTGAAGATATAGCCGTTTCGAACGAAGGCCACAAAGTGCTCCAAATATCCACTTGCAGGTCCTCCAGAAAGAGTGTTTCAAACGTGAACTACCAAAGGAAGGCTCAACTCTGGACTTTGAATGCCAACGTCAGAAGGATGTTTCTGCGAAAGCTTCTGTTTAGTTAGGTGACGTTATCCCGTTTCCAACGAAATCCTCAGAGAGGTCCAAATATCCACCTGCTGAGTCTACAAACAGTGTGTTTCAAAACTGCTCCACCCAAAGGAATGTTCAGCTCTGTGAGTTGAACTCAATCATCCCAAAGTATTTTCTGAGAATGCTTCTGTCCAGTTTTTACATGAAGCTGTTTCCTTTACTACCGTAGGCTTCAAAGCGTCCCAAACCTCCACTTGCAGATACTACGAAAAGAGCGTTTCAACCTGAACTCACAAGGGAAGGTTCAACTCTGTCAGTTGAATGCCAACATCACCAAGAATTTCTGAGAATGTTCCTCTTCAGTTATGTGAGGTTTATCCCGATTCCAACGAAATTCTCAGAGAAGTCCCAAAATCCACTTGCATATTCTACAAAAGGTGTGTTTGGAAAATGCGCCATTAAAATATATGCTCAGCTCTGTGAGTTAAACTCAATCATCGCAAAGAATTTTCTGAGAATGCTTCTGTCTTGTTTTTAGATGAAGTTCTTTCCTTTACTACGATAGGCCTCAAAGAGGTCCAAATCTCCACTTGCAGATTCTGCAGAAGGAGTGTTTCAAACCTCAACTGTCAGAGAAAGGTTCAACACTGTGAGTTGAATGCAAGCATCACGAAGAAGGTTCTGAGAATGCTTCTGTTTACGTAGGTGAGTTTTCTCCCGTATCCAACGAAATCCTCAGAGCGGTCCAAATCTCCACTTGCAGATTCTACACAAAGTGTGTTTGGAAACTGCTCCACCCAAAGGAATGTTCAGCTCTGTGAGTTGAACTCAATCGTCACAAAGCGTTTCCTGGGAATGCTCCTGTCTCGCTTTTATGTGCAGTTATATCCTCTACTGCCATAGGCCTCAAAGCGGTCCAAATCTCCCCTTTCAGATTCTACCAAAAGTGTGTTTCCAAACGGCTCCATCAAAGGGAATGTTCAACTCGGTGACTTGAATGCAATCATCACAAAGCAGTTTCTGAGAATGTTTCCATGTAGCTTTGATGAGAAGATATTTCCTTTTCCACCCCAGGCCTCGAAGCCCTCCAAATGTCCCCTGCAGATGCTAGAAAGAGGGGGTTTCAAAGCTGCTCTATCAAAAGGAAAGTACAACTCTGTGAGTTGAATGCAAACATCACAAGGAAGTTCCTGAGCATGCTTCCGTTTAGCTTTTACGGGAATATTATCCCTTTTCCATCGAAATGTTCAAAGAGGTCCACATATCCGCTTGCAGATTCCACCGAAAGAGTGTTTCCAAACTGCTGCATCAAAAGGAATCCTCAGCTCCGTGAGTTGAATGCAATCATCACCAAGAAGTTTCTGACAATGCTTCTCTCTAGTTTTTATGTGAAGATATTTCCTTTTCCACCACTGGCCTGAAAGTGCCCCAAATGTCCACTTGGAGGCTCTACGAAAAGAATGTTTCAAAACTGCTCTATGAAAAGCAATGTTATACTCTGGGAGTTGAACACAAGCCTCACAAATGAGTTTCTGAGAATGCTTCTGTTTACTTTTTACGTGACGATATTCCCGTTTCCAAAGAAGTCTTCACAGAGTTCCACCTATCCATTTGCAGATGCTAGCAAAACTAGAGAATTTCAAAAGTGCTCTATCAAAAGGAATGTTCAACTCTGTGAGTTGTATGCAATCATCACAGAGAAGTTTCTGAGAAGGCTTCTGTCTAGATTTTATGTGATGATATAGCCGTTTCGAACGAAGGCCACAAAGTGCTCCAAATATCCACTTGCAGGTCCTCCAAAAAGAGTGTTTCAAACGTGAACTACCAAAGGAAGGCTCAACTCTGGACTTTGAATGCCAACGTCAGAAGGATGTTTCTGCGAAATCTTCTGTTTAGTTAGGCGACGTTATCCCGTTTCCAACGAAATCCTCAGAGACGTCCAAATATCCACCTGCAGAGTCTACAAAAAGTGTGTTTCAGAACTGCTCCACCCAAAGGAATGTTCAGCTCTGTGAGTTGAACTCAATCATCCCAAAGTATTTTCTGAGAATGCTTCTGTCCAGTTTTTACATGAAGCTGTTTCCTTTACTACCGTAGGCCTCAAAGCGTTCCAAACCTCCACTTGCAGATACTACGAAAAGAGCGTTTCAACTTGAACTCACAAGGAAAGGTTCAACTCTCTCAGTTGAATGCCAACATCACAAAGAAGTTCTGAGAATGTTCCTCTTCAGTTATGTGAGGTTTATCCCGTTTCCAACGAAATTTTCAGAGAAGTCCCAAAATCCACTTGCATATTCTACAAAAGGTGTGTTTTGAAAATGCGCCATCAAAAGATAGGCTCAGCTCTGTGAGTTAAACTCAATCATCGCAAAGAATTTTCTGAGAATGCTTCTGTCTTGTTTTTAGATGAAGTTCTTTCCTTTACTACGATAGGCCTCAAAGAGGTCCAAATCTCCACTTGCAGATTCTGCAGAAGGAGTGTTTCAAACCTGAACTGTCAGAGAAAGGTTCCACACTGTGAGTTGAATGCAAGCATCACGAAGAAGGTTCTGAGAATGCTTCTGTTTACGTAGGTGACTTTTCTCCCGTATCCAACGAAATCCTCAGAGCGGTCCAAATCTCCACTTGCAGATTCTACACAAAGTGTGTTTGGAAACTGCTCCATCCAAAGGAATGTTCAGCTCTGTGAGTTGCACTCAATCGTCACAAAGTGTTTCCTGGGAATGCTCCTGTCTCGTTTTTATGTGCAGTTATATCCTCTACTGCCATAGGCCTCAAAGCGTTCCAAATCTCCCCTTTCAGATTCTACCAAAAGTGTGTTTCCAAACGGCTCCATCAAAGGGAGTGTTCATCTCGGTGACTTGAATGCAATCATCACAAAGCAGCTTCTGAGAATGCTTCCATGTAGCTCTGATGAGAAGATATTTCTTTTTCCACCCCAGGCCTCGAAGCCCTCCAAATGTCCCCTTGCAGATGCTAGAAAGAGGGGGTTTCAAAGCTGCTCTATCAAAAGGAAAGTACAACTCTGTGAGTTGAATGCAAACATCACAAGGAAGTTCCTGAGCATGCTTCCGTTTAGCTTTTACGGGAAGATTATCCCTTTTCCATCGAAATGTTCAAAGAGGTCCACATATCCGCTTGCAGATTCCACCGAAAGAGTGTTTCCAAACTGCTGCATCCAAACGAATCCTCAGCTCCGTGAGTTGAATGCAATCATCACCAAGAAGTTTCTGACAATGCTTCTCTCTAGTTTTTATGTGAAGATATTTCCTTTTCCACCACAGGCCTGAAAGCGCTCCAAATGTCCACTTGGAGGCTCTACGAAAAGAATGTTTCAAAACTGCTCTATGAAAAGCAATGTTATACTCTGGGAGTTGAACACAAGCCTCACAAAGGAGTTTCTGAGAATGCTTCTGTTTACTTTTTACGTGAGGATATTCCCGTTTCCAAAGAAGTCTTCACAGAGTTCCACCTATCCATTTGCAGATGCTAGCAAAACTAGAGAGTTTCAAAACTGCTCTATGAAAAGGAATGTTCAACTCTGTGAGTTGCATGCAATCATCACAGAGAAGTTTCTGAGAAGGCTTCTGTCTAGATTTTATTTGAAGATATAGCCGTTTCAAACGAAGGCCACAAAGTGCTCCAAATAGCCACTTGCAGGTCCTCCAAAAAGAGTGTTTCAAACGTGAACTACCAAAGGAAGGCTAAACTGTGGACTTTGAAGGCCAACGTCAGAGAGATGTTTCTGCGAAAGCTTCTGTTTAGTTAGGTGACGTTATCCCGTTTCCAACGAAATCCTCAGTGACGTCCAAATATCCACCTGCAGAGTCTACAAAAAGTGTGTTTCAGAACTGCTCCACCCAAAATAATGTTCAGCTCTGTGAGTTGAACTCAATCATCCCAAAATAGTTTCTGAGAATGCTTCTGTCCAGTTTTTACATGAAGCTGTTTCCTTTACTACCGTAGGCCTCAAAGCATTCCAAACCTCCACTTGCAGATACTACGAAAAGAGCGTTTCAACCTGAACTCACAAGGGAAGGTTCAACTCTGTCAGTTGAATGCCAACATCACCAAGAAATTCTGAGAATGTTCCTCTTCAGTTATGTGAGGTTTATCCCGTTTCCAACGAATTTCTCAGAGAAGTCCCAAAATCCACTTGCATATTCTACAAAAGGTGTGTTTTGAAAACGCGCCATCAAAAGATATGCTCAGCTCTGTGAGTTAAACTCAATCATCGCAAAGAATTTTCTGAGAATGCTTCTGTCTTGTTTTTAGATGAAGTTCTTTCCTTTACTACGATAGGCCTCAAAGAGGTCCAAATCTCCACTTGCAGATTCTGCAGAAGGAGTGTTTCAAACCTGAACTGTCAGAGAAACCTTCAACACTGTGGGTTGAATGCAAGCATCACGAAGAAGGTTCTGAGAATGCTTCTGTTTACGTAGGTGAGTTTTCTCCCGTATCCAACGAAATCCTCAGAGCGGTCCAAATCTCCACTTGCAGATTCTACACAAAGTGTGTTTGGAAACTGCTCCATCCAAAGGAATGTTCAGATCTGTGAGTTGAACTCAATGGTCACAAAGCGTTTCCTGGGAATGCTCCTGTCTCGCTTTTATGTGCAGTTATATCCTCTACTGCCACAGGCCTCAAAGCGGTCCAAATCTCCCCTTTCAGATTCTACCAAAAGTGTGTTTCCAAACGGCTCCATCAAAGGGAATGTTCAACTCGGTGACTTCAATGCAATCATCACAAAGCGGCTTCAGAGAATGCTTCCATGTAGCTTTGATGAGAAGATATTTCCTTTTCCTCCCCAGGCCTCGAAGCCCTCCAAATGTCCCCTTGCAGATGCTAGAAAGAGGGGGTTTCAAAGCTGCTCTATCAAAAGGAAAGTACAACTCTGTGAGTTGAATGCAAACATCACAAGGAAGTTCCTGAGCATGCTTCCGTTTAGCTTTAACGGGAAGATTATCCCTTTTCCATCGAAATGTTCAAAGAGGTCCACATATCCGCTTGCAGATTCCACCGAAAGAGTGTTTCCAAACTGCTGCATCAAAAGGAATCCTCAGCTCCGTGAGTTGAGTGCGATCATCACCAAGAAGTTTCTGACAATGCGTCTCTCTAGTTTTTATGTGAAGATATTTCCTGTTCCACCACAGGCCTGAAAGCGCTCCAAATGTCCACTTGGAGGCTCTACGAAAAGAATGTTTCAAAACTGCTCTATGAAAATGCAATGTTATACTCTGGGAGTTGAACACAAGCCTCACAAAGGAGTTTCTGAGAATGCTTCTGTTTACTTTTTACGTGAGGATATTCCCGTTCCAAAGAAGTCTCACAGAGT
>NC_000001.11:121792711-121796598 GCF_000001405.40 Homo sapiens
TCTCTCTAGTTTTATGTGAAAGATANTTCCTGTTCCACCCCAGCTGGAAAGCGCTNCAAATGTCCACTGGAGGCTCTACGAAAAGAATGTTTCAAAACTGCTCTATGAAAAGCAATGTTATACTCTGGGAGTGGAACACAAGCCTCACAAAGGAGTTTCTGAGAATGCTTCTGTTTACTTTTACGTGAGATATCCCGTTTCCAAAGAAGTCTTCACAGAGTTCCACCTATCCATTTGCAGATGCTAGCAAAACTAGAGAGTTTCAAAACTGCTCTATCAAAAGGAATGTTCAACTCTGTGAGTTGCATGCAATCATCACAGAGAGGTTTCTGAGAAGGCTTCTGTCTAGATTTTATGTGAAGATATAGCCGTTTCGAACGAAGGCCACAAAGTGCTCCAAATATCCACTGGCAGGTCCTCCAAAAAGAGTGTTTCAAACGTGAACTACCAAAGGAAGGCTCAACTCTGGACTTTGAATGCCAACGTCAGAAAGATGTTTCTGCGAAAGCTTCTGTTTAGTTAGGTGACGTTATCCCGCTTCCAACGAAATCCTCAGAGAGGTCCAAATATTCACCTGCAGAGTCTCCAAAAGTGTGTTTCAAAACTGCTCCACCCAAAGGAATGTTCAGCTCTGTGAGTTGAACTCAATCATCCCAAAGTATTTTCTGAGAATGCTTCTGTCCAGTTTTTACATGAAGCTGTTTCCTTTACTACCGTAGGCCTCAAAGCGTTCCAAACCTCCACTTGCAGATCCTACGGAAAGAGCGTTTCAACCTGAACTCACAAGGGAAGGTTCAACTCTGTCAGTTGAATGCCAACATCATCAAGAAGTTCTGAGAATGTTCCTCTTCAGTTATGGGATGTTTATCCCGTTTCCCACGAAATTCTCAGAGAAGTCCCAAAATCCACTTGCATATTCCACAAAAGGTGTGTTTGGAAAATGCGCCATCAAAAGATATGCTCAGCTCTGTGAGTTAAACTCAATCATCGCAAAGAATTTTCTGAGAATGCTTCCGTCTTGTTTTTAGATGAAGTTCTTTCCTTTACTACGATAGGCCTCAAAGAGGTCCAAATCTCCACTTGCAGATTCTGCAGAAGGAGTGTTTCAAACCTGAACTGTCAGAGAAAGGTTCAACACTGTGAGTTGAATGCAAGCATCACGAAGAAGGTTCTGACAATGCTTCTGTTTACATAGGTGACTTTTCTCCCGTATCCAGCGAAATCCTCAGAGCGGTCCAAATCTCCACTTGCAGATTCTACACAAAGTGTGTTTGGAAACTGCTCCACCCAAAGGAATGTTCAGCTCTGTGAGTTGAACTCAATGGTCACAAAGCGTTTCCTGGGAATGCTCCTGTCTCGCTTTTATGTGCAGTTATATCCTCTACTGCCATAGGCCTCAAAGCGGTCCAAATCTCCCCTTTCAGATTCTACCAGAAGTGTGTTTCCAAATGGCCCCATCAAAGGGGATGTTCAACTCAGTGACTTGAATGCAATCATCACAAAGCAGCTTCTGAGAATGCTTCCATGTAGCTTTGATGAGAAGATATTTCCTTTTCCACCCCAGGCCTCGAAGCCCTCCAAATGTCCCCTTGCCGATGCTAGAAAGAGGGGGTTTCAAAGCTGCTCTATCAAAAGGAAAGTACAACTCTGTGAGTTGAATGCAAACATCACAAGGAAGTTCCTGAGCATGCTTCCGTTTAGCTTTTACGGGAAGATTATCCCTTTTCCATCGAAATGTTCAAAGAGGTCCACATATCCGCTTGCAGATTCCACACAAAGAGTGTTTCCAAACTGCTGCATCCAAAGGAATCCTCAGCTCCGTGAGTTGAAGGCAATCATCACCAAGAAGTTTCTGACAATGCTTCCCTCTAGCTTTTATGTGAAGATATTTCCTTTTCCACCGCAGGCCTGAAAGCGCTCCAAATGTCCACTTGGAGGCTCTACGAAAAGAATGTTTCAAAACTGCTCTATGAAAAGCAATGTTATACTCTGGGAGTTGAACACAAGCCTCAGAAAGGAGTTTCTGAGAATGCTTCTGTTTACTTTTTACTTGAGGATATTCCCGTTTCCAAAGAAGACTTCACAGAGTTCCACCTATCCATTTGCAGATGCTAGCAAAAGAGAGTTTCAAAACTGCTCCATCAAAAGGAATGTTCAACTCTGTGAGTTGCATGCAATCATCACAGAGAAGTTTCTGAGAAGGCTTCTGTCTAGATTTTACGTGAAGAGATAGCCGTTTCGAACGAAGGCCACAAAGTGCTCCAAATATCCACTTGCAGGTCCTCCAAAAAGAGTGTTTCAAACGTGAACTACCAAAGGAAGGCTCAACTCTGGACTTTGAAGGCCAACGTCAGAAGGATGTTTCTGCGAAAGCTTCAGTTTAGTTAGGTGACGTTATCCCGTTTCCAACGAAATCCTCAGAGAGGTCCAAATATCCACCTGCGGAGTCTACAAAAAGTGTGTTTCCAAACTGCTCCACCCAAAGGAATGTTCAGCTCTGTGAGTTGAACTCAATCGTCCCAAAGTATTTTCTGAGAATGCTTCTGTCCAGTTTTTACATGAAGCTGTTTCCTTTACTACCGTAGGCCTCAAAGCGTTCCAAACCTCCACTTGCAGATCCTACGAAAAGAGCGTTTCAACCTGAACTCACAAGGGAAGGTTCAACTCTGTCAGTTGAATGCCAACATCACCAAGAAGTTCTGAGAATGTTCCTCTTCAGTTATGTGAGGTTTATCCCGTTTCCCACGAAATTCTCAGAGAAGTCCCAAAATCCACTTGCATATTCCACAAAAGGTGTGTTTGGAAAATGCCCCATCAAAAGATATGCTCAGCTCTGTGAGTTAAACTCAATCATCGCAAAGAATTTTCTGAGAATGCTTCCGCCTTGTTTTTAGATGAAGTACTTTCCTTTACTACGATAGGCCTCAAAGAGGTCCAAATCTCCACTTGCAGATTCTGCAGAAGGAGTGTTTCAAACCTGAACTGTCAGAGAAAGTTTCAACACTGTGAGTTGAATGCAAGCATCACGAAGAAGGTTCTGAGAATGCTTCTGTTTACGTAGGTGACTTTTCTCCCGTATCCAGCGAAATCCTCAGAGCGGTCCAAATCTCCACTTGCAGATTCTACACAAAGTGTGTTTGGAAACTGCTCCACCCAAAGGAATGTTCAGCTCTGTGAGTTGAACTCAATGGTCACAAAGCGTTTCCTGGGAATGCTCCTGTCTCGCTTTTATGTGCGGTTATATCCTCTACTGCCATAGGCCTCAAAGAGGTCCAAATCTCCCCTTTCAGATTCTCCCAGAAGTGTGTTTCCAAACGGCCCCATCAAAGGGGATGTTCAACTCGGTGACTTGAATGCAATCATCACAAAGCAGCTTCTGAGAATGCTTCCATGTAGCTTTGATGAGAAGATATTTCCTTTTCCACCCCAGGCCTCGAAGCCCTCCAAATGTCCCCTTGCAGATGCTAGAAAGAGGGGGTTTCAAAGCTGCTCTATCAAAAGGAAAGTACAACTCTGTGAGTTGAATGCAAACATCACAAGGAAGTTCCTGAGCATGCTTCCGTTTAGCTTTTACGGGAAGATTATCCCTTTTCCATCGAAATGTTCAAAGAGGTCCACATATCCGCTTGCAGATTCCACCGAAAGAGTGTTTCCAAACTGCTGCATCCAAAGGAATCCTCAGCTCCGTGAGTTGAATGCAATCATCACCAAGAAGTTTCTGACAATGCTTCTCTCTAGTTTTTATGTGAAGATATTTCCTTTTCCACCGCAGGCCTGAAAGCGCTCCAAATGTCCACTTGGAGGCTCTACGAAAAGAATGTTTCAAAACTGCTCTATGAAAAGCAATGTTATACTCTGGGAGTGAACACAAGCCTCACAAAGGAGTT
>NC_000001.11:121796698-121799683 GCF_000001405.40 Homo sapiens
TCTTCAGTTATGTGAGGTTTATCCCGTTTCCACGAAATTCTCAGAGAAGTCCCAAAATCCACTTGCATATTCCACAAAAGGTGTGTTTGGAAATTGTGCCATCAAAAGATATGCTCAGCTCTGTGAGTTAAACTCAATCATTGCAAAGAATTTTCTGAGAATGCTTCCGTCTTGTTTTTAGATGAAGTTCTTTCCTTTACTACGATAGGCCTCAAAGAGGTCCAAATCTCCACTTGCAGATTCTACAGAAGGAGTGTTTCAAACCTGAACTGTCAGAGAAAGGTTCAACACTGTGAGTTGAATGCAAGCATCACGAAGAAGGTTCTGAGAATGCTTCTGTTTACGTATGTGACTTTTCTCCCGTATCCAACGAAACCCTCAGAGCGGTCCAAATCTCCACTTGCAGATTCTACACAAGGTGTGTTTGGAAACTGCTCCACCCAAAGGAATGTTCAGCTCTGTGAGTTGAACTCAATCGTCACAAAGCGTTTCCTGGGAATGCTCCTGTCTCGCTTTTATGTGCAGTTAAATCCTCTGCTGCCATAGGCCTCAAAGCGGTCCAAATCTCCCCTTTCAGATTCTACCAAAAGTGTGTTTCCAAACGGCCCCATCAAAGGGGATGTTCAACTCGGTGACTTGAATGCAATCTTCACAAAGCAGCTTCTGAGAATGCTTCCATGTAGCTTTGATGAGAAGATATTTCCTTTTCCACCCCAGGCCTCGAAGCCCTCCAAATGTCCCCTTGCAGATGCTAGAAAGAGGGGGTTTCAAAGCTGCTCTATCAAAAGGAAAGTACAACTCTCTGAGTTGAATGCAAACATCACAAGGAAGTTCCTGAGCATGCTTCCGTTTAGCTTTTACGGGAAGATTATCCCTTTTCCATCGAAATGTTCAAAGAGGTCCACATATCGGCTTGCAGATTCCACCGAAAGAGTGTTTCCAAACTGCTGCATCCAAAGGAATCCTCAGCTCCGTGAGTTGAATGCAATCATCACCAAGAAGTTTCTGACAATGCCTCTGTCTAGTTTTTATGTGAAGATATTTCCTTTTCCACCGCAGGCCTGAAAGCGCTCCAAATGTCCACTTGGAGGCTCTACGAAAAGAATGTTTCAAAACTGCTCTATGAAAAGCAATGTTATACTCTGGGAGTTGAACACAAGCCTCACAAAGGAGTTTCTGAGAATGCTTCTGTTTACTTTTTACGTGAGGATATTCCCGTTTCCAAAGAAGTCTTCACAGAGTTCCACCTATCCATTTGCAGATGCTAGCAAAAGAGAGTTTCAAAACTGCTCCATCAAAAGGAATGTTCAACTCTGTGAGTTGCATGCAATCATCACAGAGAAGTTTCTGAGAAGGCTTCTGTCTAGATTTTATGTGAAGATATGGCCGTTTCGAACGAAGGCCACAAAGCGCTCCCAATATCCACTTGCAGGTCCTCCAAAAAGAGTGTTTCAAACGTGAACTAACAAAGGAAGGCTCAACTCTGGACTTTGAATGCCAACGTCAGAAGGATGTTTCTGCGAAAGCTTCTGTTTAGTTAGGTGACGTTATCCCGTTTCCAACGAAATCCTCAGAGAGGTCCAAATATCCACCTGCAAAGTCTACAAAAAGTGTGTTTCAAAACTGCTCCACCCAAAGGAATGTTCAGCTCTGTGAGTTGAACTCAATCATCCCAAAGTATTTTCTGAGAATGCTTCTGTCCAGTTTTTACATGAAGCTGTTTCCTTTACTACCGTAGGCCTCAAAGCGTTCCAAACCTCCACTTGCAGATACTACGAAAAGAGCGTTTCAACCTGAACTCACAAGGGAAGGTTCAAGTCTGCCAGTTGAATGCCAACATCACCAAGAACTTCTGAGAATGTTCCTCTTCAGATACGTGAGGTTTATCCCGTTTCCAAAGAAATTCTCAGAGAAGTCCCAAAATCCACTTGCATATTCCACAAAAGGTGTGTTTTGAAAATGCGCCATCAAAAGATATGCTCAGCTCTGTGAGTTAAACTCAATCATCGCAAAGTATTTTCTGAGAATGCTTCCATCGTGTTTTTAGATGAAGTTCTTTCCTTTACTACGATAGACCTCAAGGAGGTCCAAATGTCCACTTGCAGATTCTGCAGAAGGAGTGTTTCAAACCTGAACTGTCAGAGAAAGGTTCAACACTGTGAGTTGAATGCAAGCATCACGAATAAGGTTCTGAGAATGCTTCTGTTTACGTAGGTGACTTTTCTCCCGTATCCAACGAAATCCTCAGAGCGGTCCAAATCTCCACTTGCAGATTCTACACAAAGTGTGTTTGGAAACTGCTTCACCCAAAGGAATGTTCAGCTCTGTGAGTTGAACTCAATCGTCACAGAGCGTTTCCTGGGAATGCTCCTGTCTCGATTTTATGTGCAGTTATATCCTCTACTGCCATAGGCCTCAAAGCGGTCCAAATCTCCCCTTTCAGATTCTACCAAAAGTGTGTTTCCAAACGGCCCCATCAAAGGGGATGTTCAACTCGGTGACTTGAATGCAATCATCACAAAGCAGCTTCTGAGAATGCTTCCATGTAGGTTTGATGAGAAGATATTTCCTTTTCCACCCCAGGCCTCGAAGCCCTCCAAATGTCCCCTTGCAGATGTTAGAAAGAGGGGGTTTCAAAGCTGCTCTATCAAAAGGAAAGTACAACTCTGTGAGTTGAATGCAAACATCACAAGGAAGTTCCTGAGCATGCTTCCGTTTAGCTTTTACGGGAAGATTATCCCTTTTCCATCGAAATGTTCAAAGAGGTCCACATATCCGCTTGCAGATTCCACCGAAAGAGTGTTTCCAAACTGCTGCATCCAAAGGAATCCTCAGCTCCGTGAGTTGAATGCAATCATCACCAAGAAGTTTCTGACAATGCTTCTCTCTAGTTTTTATGTGAAGATATTTCCTTTTCCACCGCAGGCCTGAAAGCGCTCCAAATGTCCACTTGGAGGCTCTACGAAAAGAATGTTCAAAACTGCT
>NC_000001.11:121799783-121804894 GCF_000001405.40 Homo sapiens
GCAGAAAGAGTGTTTCAACCTGACTGTCAGAGAAAGGTCAACACGTGAAGTGAAAGCAAGCATCACGATTAAGTTTTGAGAATGCTTCTGTTTACGTAGGTGACTTTTCTCCCGTATCCAACGAAATCCTCAGAGCGGTCCAAATCTCCACTTGCAGATTCTACACAAAGTGTGTTTGGAAACTGCTTCACCCAAAGGAATGTTCAGCTCTGTGAGTTGAACTCAATCGTCACAGAGCGTTTCCTGGGAATGCTCCTGTCTCGATTTTATGTGCAGTTATATCCTCTACTGCCATAGGCCTCAAAGCGGTCCAAATCTCCCCTTTCAGATTCTACCAAAAGTGTGTTTCCAAACGGCCCCATCAAAGGGGATGTTCAACTCGGTGACTTGAATGCAATCATCACAAAGCAGCTTCTGAGAATGCTTCCATGTAGGTTTGATGAGAAGATATTTCCTTTTCCACCCCAGGCCTCGAAGCCCTCCAAATGTCCCCTTGCAGATGTTAGAAAGAGGGGGTTTCAAAGCTGCTCTATCAAAAGGAAAGTACAACTCTGTGAGTTGAATGCAAACATCACAAGGAAGTTCCTGAGCATGCTTCCGTTTAGCTTTTACGGGAAGATTATCCCTTTTCCATCGAAATGTTCAAAGAGGTCCACATATCCGCTTGCAGATTCCACCGAAAGAGTGTTTCCAAACTGCTGCATCCAAAGGAATCCTCAGCTCCGTGAGTTGAATGCAATCATCACCAAGAAGTTTCTGACAATGCTTCTCTCTAGTTTTTATGTGAAGATATTTCCTTTTCCACCGCAGGCCTGAAAGCGCTCCAAATGTCCACTTGGAGGCTCTACGAAAAGAATGTTTCAAAACTGCTCTATGAAAAGCAATGTTATACTCTGGGAGTTGAACACAAGCCTCACAAAGGAGTTTCTGAGAATGCTTCTGTTTACTTTTTACGTGAGGATATTCCCGTTTCCAAAGAAGTCTTCACAGAGTTCCACCTATCCATTTGCAGATGCTAGCAAAAGAGAGTTTCAAAACTGCTCCATCAAAAGGAATCTTCAACTCTGTGAGTTGCATGCAATCATCACAGAGAAGTTTCTGAGAAGGCTTCTGTCTAGATTTTATGTGAAGATATGGCCGTTTCGAACGAAGGCCACAAAGTGCTCCCAATATCCACTTGCAGGTCCTCCAAAAAGAGTGTTTCAAACGTAAACTACCAAAGGAAGGCTCAACTCTGGACTTTGAATGCCAACGTCAGAAGGATGTTTCTGCGAAAGCTTCTGTTTTGTTAGGTGACGTTATCCCGTTTCCAACGAAATCCTCAGAGAGGTCCAAATATCCACCTGCAGAGTCTACAAAAAGTGTGTTTCAAAACTGCTCCACCCAAAGGAATGTTCAGCTCTGTGAGTTGAACTCAATCATCCCAAAGTATTTTCTGAGAATGCTTCTGTCCAGTTTTTACATGAAGCTGTTTCCTTTACTACCGTAGGCCTCAAAGCGTTCCAAACCTCCACTTGCAGATACTACGAAAAGAGCGTTTCAACCTGAACTCACAAGGGAAGTTTCAACTCTGTCAGTTGAATGCCAACATCACCAAGAACTTCTGAGAATGTTCCTCTTCAGTTACGTGAGGTTTATCCCGTTTCCAACGAAATTCTCAGAGAAGTCCCAAAATCCACTTGCATATTCCACAAAAGGTGTGTTTGGAAAATGCGCCATCAAAAGATATGCTCAGCTCTGTGAGTTAAACTCAATCATCGCAAAGAATTTTCTGAGAATGCTTCCGTCTTGTTTTCAGATGAAGTTCTTTCCTTTACTACGATAGGCCTCAAGGAGGTCCAAATCTCCACTTGCAGATTCTGCAGAAGGAGTGTTTCAAACCTGAACTGTCAGAGAAAAGTTCAACACTGTGAGTTGAATGCAAGCATCACGAAGAAGGTTCTGAGAATGCTTCTGTTTACGTAGGTGACTTTTCTCCCTATCCAACGAAATCCTCAGAGCGGTCCAAATCTCCACTTGCAGATTCTACACAAAGTGTGTTTGGAAACTGCTCCACCCAAAGGAATGTTCAGCTCTGTGAGTTGAACTCAATCGTCACAAAGCGTTTCCTGGGAATGCTCCTGTCTCGCTTTTATGTGCAGTTATATCCTCTACTGCCATAGGACTCAAAGCGGTCCAAATCTCCCCTTCCAGATTCTACCAAAAGTGTGTTTCCAAACGGCCCCATCAAAGGGGATGTTCAACCCGGTGACTTGAATGCAATCATCACAAAGCAGCTTCTGAGAATGCTTCCATGTAGCTTTGATGAGAAGATATTTCCTTTTCCACCCCAGGCCTCGAAGCCCTCCAAATGTCCCCTTGCAGATGCTAGAAAGAGGGGGTTTCAAAGCTGCTCTATCAAAAGGAAAGTACAACTCTGTGAGTTGAATGCAAACATCACAAGGAAGTTCCTGAGCATGCTTCCGTTTAGCTTTTACGGGAAGATTATCCCTTTTCCATCAAAATGTTCAAAGAGGTCCACATATCCGCTTGCAGATTCCACCGAAAGAGTGTTTCCAAACTGCTGCATCAAAAGGAATCCTCAGCTCCGTGAGTTGAATGCAATCATCACCAAGAAGTTTCTGACAATGTTTCTCTCTAGTTTTTATGTGAAGATATTTCCTTTTCCACCGCAGGCCTGAAAGCGCTCCAAATGTTCACTTGGAGGCTCTACGAAAAGAATGTTTCAAAACTGCCCTATGAAAAGCAATGTTATACTCTGGGAGTTGAACACAAGCCTCACAAAGGAGTTTCTGAGAATGCTTCTGTTTACTTTTTACGTGAGGATATTCCCGTTTCCAAAGAAGTCTTCACAGAGTTCCACTTATACATTTGCAGATGCTAGCAAAAGAGAGTTTCAAAACTGCTCCATCAAAAGGAATTTTCAACTCTGTGAGTTGCATGCAATCATCACAGAGAAGTTTCTGAGAAGGCTTCTGTCTAGATTTTATGTGAAGATATGGCCGTTTCGAACGAAGGCCACAAAGTGCTCCCAATATCCACTTGCAGGTCCTCCAAAAAGAGTGTTTCAAACGTGAACTACCAAAGGAAGGCTCAACTCTGGACTTTGAATGCCAACGTCGAAGGATGTTTCTGCGAAAGCTTCTGTTTAGTTAGGTGACGTTATCCCGTCTCCAACGAAATCCTCAGAGAGGTCCAAATATCCACCTGCAGAGTCTACAAAAAGTGTGTTTCAAAACTGCTCCACCCAAAGGAATGTTCAGCTCTGTGAGTTGAACTCAATCATCCCAAAGTATTTTCTGAGAATGCTTCTGTCCAGTTTTTACATGAAGCTGTTTCCTTTACTACCGTAGGCCTCAAAGCGTTCCAAACCTCCACTTGCAGATACTACGAAAAGAGCGTTTCAACCTGAACTCACAAGGGAAGGTTCAACTCTGTCAGTTGAATGCCAACATCACCAAGAACTTCTGAGAATGTTCCTCTTCAGTTATGTGAGTTTTATCCCGTTTCCAACGAAATTCTCAGAGAAGTCCCAAAAACCACTTGCATATTCCACAAAAGGTGTGTTTTGAAAATGCGCCATCAAAAGATATGCTCAGCTCTGTGAGTTCAACTCAATCATCACAAAGAATTTTCTGAGAATGCTTCCGTCTTGTTTTTAGATGAAGTTCTTACCTTTACTACAATAGGCCTCAAAGAGGTCCAAATCTCCACTTGCAGATTCTGCAGAAGGAGTGTTTCAAACCTGAACTGTCAGAGAAAAGTTCAACACTGTGAGTTGAATGCAAGCATCACGAAGAAGGTTCTGAGAATGCTTCTGTTTTCGTAGGTGACTTTTCTCCCTATCCAACGAAATCCTCAGAGCGGTCCAAATCTCCACTTGCAGATTCTACACAAAGTGTGTTTGGAAACTGCTCCACCCAAAGGAATGTTCGGCTCTGTGAGTTGAACTCAATGGTCACAAAGCGTTTCCTGGGAATGCTCCTGTCTCGCTTTTCTGTGCAGTTATATCCTCTACTGCCATAGGCCTCAAAGCGGTCCAAATCTCCCCTTTCAGATTCTCCCAAAAGTGTGTTTCCAAACGGCCCCATCAAAGGGGATGTTCAACTCGGTGACTTGAATGCAATCATCACAAAGCAGCTTCTGAGAATGCTTCCATGTAGCTTTGATGAGAAGATATTTCCTTTTCCACCCCAGGCCTCGAAGCCCTCCAAATGTCCCCTTGCAGATGCTAGAAAGAGGGGGTTTCAAAGCTGCTCTATCAGAAGGAAAGTACAACTCTGTGAGTTGAATGCAAACATCACAAGGAAGTTCCTGAGCATGCTTCCGTTTAGCTTTTAGGGGAAGATTATCCCTTTTCCATCGAAATGGTCAAAGAGGTCCACATATCCGCTTGCAGATTCCACCGAAAGAGTGTTTCCAAACTGCTGCATCAAAAGGAATCCTCAGCTCCGTGAGTTGAATGCAATCATCACCAAGAAGTTTCTGACAATGCTTCTCTCTAGTTTTTATGTGAAGATATTTCCTTTTCCACCGCAGGCCTGAAAGCGCTCCAAATGTCCACTTGGAGGCTCTACGAAAAGAATGTTTCAAAACTGCTCTATGAAGAGCAATGTTATACTCTGGGAGTTGAACACAAGCCTCACAAAGGAGTTTCTGAGAATGCTTCTGTTTACTTTTTACGTGGGGATATTCCCGTTTCCAAAGAAGTCTTCACAGAGTTCCACCTATCCATTTGCAGATGCCAGCAAAACTAGAGAGTTTCAAAACTGCTCTATCAAAAGGAATGTTCACCTCTGTGAGTTGCGTGCAATCATCACAGAGAAGTTTCTGAGAAGGCTTCTGTCTAGATTTTATGTGAAGATATAGCCGTTTCGAACGAAGGCCACAAAGTGCTCCAAATATCCACTTGCAGGTCCTCCAAAAAGAGTGTTTCAAACGTGAACTACCAAAGGAAGGCTCAACTCGNGACTTTGAAGGCCACGTCAGAAGGATGTTTCTGCNGAAGCTTCTGTNTNNAGTAGTGACNGTATCCCGTTNNCNACGAAATCCTCAGAGNAGTCCAATATCCACTGCAGAGTCTACAAAGTGTGTTCAAACTGCTCACCNAA
>NC_000001.11:121804994-121807490 GCF_000001405.40 Homo sapiens
ACGAAATTTCCGAGAAGTCCAAAATCCACTGTCATATTCCCAAAAGGTTGTTGGAAAATGGGCATCAAAAGATAGGCTCAGCCTGGGAGTTAACTCCATCATGGCAAAGATTTTCTGAGAATGCTTCCGTCTTGTTTATAGATGAAGTTCTTTCCTTTACTACGATAGGCCTCAAGGAGGTCCAAATCTCCACTTGCAGATTCTGCAGAAGGAGTGTTTCAAACCTGGACTGTCAGAGAAAGGGTTCAACACTGTGAGTTGAATGCAAGCATCACGAAGAAGGTTCTGAGAATGCTTCTGTTTACGTAGGTGACTTTTCTCCCGTATCCAACGAAATCCTCAGAGCGGTCCAAATCTCCACTTGCAGATTCTACACAAAGTGTGTTTGGAAACTGCTCCACCCAAAGGAATGTTCAGCTCTGTGAGTTGAACTCAATGGTCACAAAGCGTTTCCTGGGAATGCTCCTGTCTCGCTTTTATGTGCAGTTATATCCTTTACTGCCATAGGTCTCAAAGCGGTCCAAATCTCCCCTTTCAGATTCTACCAAAAGTGTGTTTCCAAACGGCCCCATCAAAGGGGATGTTCAACTCGGTGACTTGAATGCAATCATCACAAAGCAGCTTCTGAGAATGCTTCCATGTAGCTTTGATGAGAAGATATTTCCTTTTCCACCCCCGGCCTCGAAGCCCTCCAAATGTCCCCTTGCAGATGCTAGAAAGAGGGGGTTTCAAAGCTGCTCTATCAGAAGGAAAGTACAACTCTGTGAGTTGAATGCAAACATCACAAGGAAGTTCCTGAGCATGCTTCCGTTTAGCTTTTACGGGAAGATTATCCCTTTTCCATCGAAATGTTCAAAGAGGTCCACATATCCGCTTGCAGATTCCACCGAAAGAGTGTTTCCAAACTGCTGCATCCAAAGGAATCCTCAGCTCCGTGAGTTGAATGCAATCATCACCAAGAAGTTTCTGACAATGCTTCTCTCTAGTTTTTATGTGAAGATATTTCCTTTTCCACCGCAGACCTGAAAGCGCTCCAAATGTCCACTTGGAGGCTCTACGAAAAGAATGTTTCAAAACTGCTCTATGAAAAGCAATGTTATACTCTGGGAGTTGAACACAAGCCTCACAAAGGAGTTTCTGAGAATGCTTCTGTTTACTTTTTACGTGAGGATATTCCCGTTTCCAAAGAAGTCTTCACAGAGTTCCACCTATCCATTTGCAGATGCTAGCAAAAGAGAGTTTCAAAACTGCTCCATCAAAAGGAATGTTCAACTCTGTGAGTTGCATGCAATCATCACAGAGAAGTTTCTGAGAAGGCTTCTGTCTAGATTTTATGTAAAGATATAGCCGTTTCGAACGAAGGCCACAAAGTGCTCCAAATATCCACTTGCAGGTCCTCCAAAAAGAGTGTTTCAAACGTGAACTACCAAAGGAAGGCTCAACTCTGGACTTTGAAGGCCAACGTCAGAAGGATGTTTCTGCAAAAGCTTCTGTTTAGTTAGGTGACGTTATCCCGTTTCCAACGAAATCCTCAGAGAGGTCCAAATATCCAACTGCAGAGTCTACAAAAAGTGTGTTTCAAAACTGCTCCACCCAAAGGAATGTTCAGCTCTGTGAGTTGAACTCAATCATCCCAAAGTATTTTCTGAGAATGCTTCTGTCCAGTTTTTACATGAAGCTGTTTCCTTTACTACGTAGGCTCAAAGCGTTCCAAACCTCCACTTGCAGATACTACGAAAAGAGCGTTTCAACCTGAACTCACAAGGGAAGGTTCAACTCTGTCAGTGAATGCCACATCACCAAGAAGTTCTGAGAATGTCCTCTTCAGTTACGTGAGGTTTATCCCGTTTCCAACGAAATTCTCAGAGAAGTCCCAAAATCCACTTGCATATTCCACAAAAGGTGTGTTTGGAAAATGCGCCATCAAAAGATATGCTCAGCTCTGTGAGTTAAACTCAATCATTGCAAAGAATTTTCTGAGAATGCTTCCGTCTTGTTTTTAGATGAAGTTCTTTCCTTTACTACGATAGGCCTCAAGGAGGTCCAAATCTCCACTTGCAGATTCTGCAGAAGGTGTGTTTCAAACCTGAACTGTCAGAGAAAGGTTCAACACTGTGAGTTGAATGCAAGCATCACGAAGAAGGTTCTGAGAATGCTTCTGTTTACGTAGGTGACTTTTCTCCCGTATCCAACGAAATCCTCAGAGCGGTCCAAATCTCCACTTGCAGATTCTACACAAAGTGTGTTTGGAAACTGCTCCACCCAAAGGAATGTTCAGCTCTGTGAGTTGAACTCAATGGTCACAAAGCGTTTCCTGGGAATGCTCCTGTCTCGCTTTTATGTGCAGTTATATCCTTTACTGCCATAGGTCTCAAAGCGGTCCAAATCTCCCCTTTCAGATTCTACCAAAACGTGTGTTTCCAAACTGGCCCCATCAAAGGGGATGTTCAACTCGGTGACGTGAATGCAATCATCACAAAGCAGCTTCTGAGAATG
>NC_000001.11:121807590-121810201 GCF_000001405.40 Homo sapiens
TGGAAAAGCGCATCAAAGATATGCTAGCTTTGGGGTAACTCAATCTTCGCAATGATTTCTGAGAATGTGACCTCTTGTTTAGAGGAAAGTTCTTCCCTTACTGCGATAGGCTTCAGGAGGTCCAAATCTCCAGTGCAGATCTGCAGAAGGAGTGTTCAAACCTGAACTGTCAGAGAAAGTTCACTCTGTGAGTGAATGCAAGCTCACGAGATGGTTCTGAGAATGCTTCAGTTTACGTAGGTGACTTTTCTCCCGTATCCACGAATCCTCAGAGCGGTCCAAATCTCCACTCGCAGATTCTACACAAAGTGTGTTTGGAAACTGCTCCACCCAAAGGAATGTTCAGCTCTGTGAGTGAAACTCAATGGTCACAAAGCGTTCCTGGGAATGCTCCTGTCTCGCTTTTATGTGCAGTTATATCCTCTACTGCCATAGGCCTCAAAGCTGTCCAAATCTCCCCTTTCAGATTCTACCAAAAGTGTGTTTCCAAACGGCCCCATCAAAGGGGATGTTCAACTCGGTGACTTGAATGCAATCATCACAAAGCAGCTTCTGAGAATGCTTCCATGTAGCTCTGATGAGAAGATATTTCCTTTTCCACCCCAGGCCTCGAAGCCCCCCAAATGTCCCCTTGCAGATGCTAGAAAGAGGGGGTTTCAAAGCTGCTCTATCAAAAGGAAAGTACAACTCTGTGAGTTGAATGCAAACATCACAAGGAAGTTCCTGAGCGTGCTTCCGTTTAGCTTTTACGGGAAGATTATCCCTTTTCCATCGAAATGTTCAAAGAGGTCCACATATCCGCTTGCAGATTCCACCGAAAGAGTGTTTCCAAACTGCTGCATCCAAAGGAATCCTCAGCTCCGTGAGTTGAATGCAATCATCACCAAGAAGTTTCTGACAATGCTTCTCTCTAGTTTTTATGTGAAGATATTTCCTTTTCCACCGCAGGCCTGAAAGCGCTCCAAATGTCCACTTGGAGGCTCTACGAAAAGAATGTTTCAAAACTGCTCTATGAAAAGAAATGTTATATTCTGGGAGTTGAACACAAGCCTCACAAAGGAGTTTCTGAGAATGCTTCTGTTTACTTTTTACGTGAGGATATTCCCGTTTCCAAAGAAGACTTCACAGAGTTCCACCTATCCATTTGCAGATGCTAGCAAAAGAGAGTTTCAAAACTGCTCCATCAAAAGGAATGTTCAACTCTGTGAGTTGCATGCAATCATTACAGAGAAGTTTCTGAGAAGGCTTCTGTCTAGATTTTATGTGAAGATATAGCCGTTTCGAACGAAGGCCACAAAGTGCTCCAAATATCCACTTGCAGGTCCTCCAAAAAGAGTGTTTCAAACGTGAACTACCAAAGGAAGGCTCAACTCTGGACTTTGAATGCCAACGTCAGAAGGATGTTTCTGCGAAAGCTTCTGTTTAGTTAGGTGACGTTATCCCGTTTCCAACGAAATCCTCAGAGAGGTCCAAATATCCACCTGCAGAGTCTACAAAAAGTGTGTTTCAAAACTGCTCCACCCAAAGGAATGTTCAGCTCTGTGAGTTGAACTCAATCATCCCAAAGTATTTTCTGAGAATGCTTCTGTCCAGTGTTTACATGAAGCTGTTTCCTTTACTACCGTAGGCCTCAAAGCGTTCCAAACCTCCACTTGCAGATACTACGAAAAGAGCGTTTCAACCTGAACTCACAAGGGAAGGTTCAACTCTGTCAGTTGAATGCCAACATCACCAAGAACTTCTGAGAATGTTCGTCTTCAGTTACGTGAGGTTTATCCCGTTTCCAACGAAATTCTCAGAGAAGTCCCAAAATCCACTTGCATATTCCACAAAAGGTGTGTTTGGAAAATGCGCCATCAAAAGATATGCTCAGCTCTGTGAGTTAAACTCAATCATCGCAAAGAATTTTCTGAGAATGCTTCCGTCTTGTTTTTAGATGAAGTTCTTTCCTTTACTACGATAGGCCTCAAGGAGGTCCAAATCTCCACTTGCAGATTCTGCAGAAGGAGTGTTTCAAACCTGAACTGTCAGAGAAAGGTTCAACACTGTGAGTTGAATGCAAGCATCACGATGAAGGATCTGAGAATGCTTCTGTTTACGTAGGTGACTTTTCTCCCGTATCCAACGAAATCCTCAGAGCGGTCCAAATCTCCACTTGCAGATTCTACACAAAGTGTGTTTGGAAACTGCTCCACCCAAACGAATGTTGAGCTCTGTGAGTTGAACTCAATCGTCACAAAGCGTTTCCTGGGAATGCTCCTGTCTCGCTTTTATGTGCAGTTATATCCTCTACTGCCATAGGCCTCAAAGCGGTCCAAATCTCCCCTTTCAGATTCTACCAATGGTGTGTTTCCAAACGGCCCCATCAAAGGGGATGTTCAACTCGGTGACTTGAATGCAATCATCACAAAGCAGCTTCTGAGAATGCTTCCATGTAGCTTTGATGAGAAGATATTTCCTTTTCCACCCCAGGCCTCGAAGCCCTCCAAATGTCCCCTTGCCGATGCTAGAAAGAGGGGGTTTCAAAGCTGCTCTATCAAAAGGAAAGTACAACTCTGTGAGTAGAATGCAAACATCACAAGGAAGTTCCTGAGCATGCTTCCGTTTAGCT
>NC_000001.11:121810301-121813372 GCF_000001405.40 Homo sapiens
GACAGAGCCTCTCAGAACTTTCTGGATGATTCATGCACTCACAGAGTGAACATTCTTTTGATAGAGCACNTTGNAAATTCTCTAGTTTTGCTAGCATCTGCAAATGGATAGGTGGAACTCTGTGANGACTTCTTNGGAAACGGGAATATCGTCACGTAAAAAGTAAACAGAAGCATTCTCAGAACTCATTTGTGAGGCTGTGTTCAACTCCCAGAGTATAACATTGCTTTTCATAGAGCAGTTTTGAAACATTCTTTTCGTAGAGCCTCCAAGTGGACATTTGGGGCACTTTCAGGCCAGTGGTGGAAAAGGAAATATCTTCACATAAAAACTAGAGAGAAGCATTGTCAGAAACTTCTTGGTGATGATTGCATTCAACTCACGGAGCTGAGGATTCCTTTTGATGCAGCAGTTTGGAAACACTCTTTCGGTGGAATCTGCAAGCGGATATGTGGACCTCTTTGAACATTTCGATGGAAAAGGGATAATATTCCCGTAAAAGCTAAACGGAAGCATGCTCAGGAACTTCCTTGTGATGTTTGCATTCAACTCACAGAGTTGTACTTTCCTTTTGATAGAGCAGCTTTGAAACCCCCTCTTTCTAGCATCTGCAGGGGACATTTGGAGGGCTTCGAGGCCTGGGGTGGAAAAGGAAATATCTTCTCATCAAAGCTACATGGAAACATTCTCAGAAACTGCTTTGTGATGATTGCATTCAAGTCACCGAGTTGAACATTCCCTTTGATGGAGCCGTTTGGAAACACACTTTTGGTAGAATCTGAAAGGGGAGATTTGGACCGCTTTGAGGCCTATGGCAGTAGAGGATATAACTGCACATAAAAGCGAGACAGGAGCATTCCCAGGAAACGCTTTGTGACGATTGAGTTCAACTCACAGAGCTGAACATTCCTTTGGGTGGAGCAGTTTCCAAACACACTTTGTGTAGAATCTGCAAGTGGAGATTTGGACCGCTCTGAGGATTTCGTTGGATACGGGAGAAAACTCACCTACGTAAACAGAAGCATTCTCAGAACCTTCTTCGTGATGCTTGCATTCAACTCACAGTGTTGAACCTTTCTCTGACAGTTGAGGTTTGAAACACTCCTTCTGCAGAATCTGCAAGTGGAGATTTGGACCTCTTTGAGGCCTATCGTAGTAAAGGAAAGAACTTCATCTAAAAACAAGACAGAAGCATTCTCAGAAAATTCTTTGCGATGATTGAGTTTAACTCACAGAGCTGAGCATATATTTTAATGGCGCATTTTCCAAACACACCTTTTGTAGAATATGCAAGTGGATTTTGGGACTTCTCTGAGAATTTCGTTGGAATCGGGATAAACCTCACATAACTGAAGAGGAACATTCTCAGAAATTCTTGGTGATGTTGGCATTCAACTGACAGAGTTGAACCTTCCCTTGTGAGTTCAGGTTGAAACGCTCTTTTCGTAGTATCTGCAAGTGGAGGTTTGGGACGCTTTGAAGCCTACGGTAGTAAAGGAAACAGCTTCATGTAAAAACTGGACAGAAGCATTCTCAGAAAATACTTTGGGATGATTGAGTTCAACTCACAGAGCTGAACATTCCTTTGGGTGGAGCAGTTTTGAAACACACTGTTTGTAGACTCAGCAGGTGGATATTTGGACCTCTCTGAGGATTTCGTTGGAAACGGGATAACGTCACCTAACTAAACAGAAGCTTTCGCAGAAACATCCTTCTGACGTTGGCATTCAAAGTCCAGAGTTGAGCCTTCCTTTGGTAGTTCACGTTTGAAACACTCTTTCTGGAGGACCTGCAAGTGGATATTTGGAGCACTTTGTGGCCTTCGTTCGAAACGGCTATATCTTCACATAAAATCTAGACAGAAGCCTTCTCAGAAACTTCTCTGTGATGATTGCATGCAACTCACAGAGTTGAACGTTCCTTTTGATAGAGCAGTTTTGAAACTCTCTTTTGCTAGCATCTGCAAATGGATAGGTGGAACTCTGTGAAGACTTCTTTTGAAACGGGAATATCCTCACGTAAAAAGTAAACAGAAGCATTCTCAGAAACTCCTTTGTGAGGCTTGTGTTCAACTCCCAGAGTATAACATTGCTTTTCATAGAGCAGTTTAGAAACATTCTTTTCGTAGAGCCTCCAAGTGGACATTTGGAGCGCTTTCAGGCCTGTGGTGGAACAGGAAATATCTTCACATAAAAACTAGAGAGACGCATTGTCAGAAACTTCTTGGCGATGATTGCACTCAACTCACGGAGCTGAGGATTCCTTTGGATGCAGCAGTTTGGAAACACTCTTTCGGTGGAATCTGCAAGCGGATATGTGGACCTCTTTGAACATTTCGATGGAAAAGGGACAATCTTCCCGTAAAAGCTAAACGGAAGCATGCTCAGGAACTTCCTTGTGATGTTTGCATTCAACTCACAGAGTTGTACTTTCCTTTTGATAGAGCAGCTTTGAAACCCCCTCTTTCTAGCATCTGCAAGGGGACATTTGGAGGGCTTCGAGGCCTGGGGTGGAAAAGGAAATATCTTCTCATCAAAGCTACATGGAAGCATTCTCTGAAGCTGCTTTGTGATGATTGCATTGAAGTCACAGAGTTGAACATTCCCTTTGATGGAGCCGTTTGGAAACACACTTTTGGTAGAATCTGAAAGGGGAGATTTGGACCGCTTTGAGGCCTATGGCAGTAGAGGATATAACTGCACATAAAAGCGAGACAGGAGCATTCCCAGGAAACGCTTTGTGACCATTGAGTTCACTCACAGACGTGAACATTCCTTTGGGTGGAGCAGTTTCCAAACACACCTTGTGTAGAATCTGCAAGTGGAGATTTGGACGCTCTGAGGATTTCGTTGGATACCGGAGAAACTCACCTACGTAAACAGAAGCATTCTCAGAACCTTCTTCGTGATGCTTGCATCAACTCACAGTGTAGAACCTTTCTCTGACTGNTCAGGNTTGAACACTCCCTCTGCAGATCTGCCAATGGAGATTTGGNACTCTTNGAGGATATCGTAGTAAAGGAAGGACTTCTCTAAAAACAGACCGAGCATCTCGGAAATCTTTGCGATGAT
>NC_000001.11:121813472-121815631 GCF_000001405.40 Homo sapiens
AATCTGAAGGGGAGATTTGGACCTCTTTGAGGCCTATGGCAGTAGAGGATATAACCGCACATAAAAGCGAGACAGGAGCATTCCCAGGAAACGCTTTGTGACCATTGAGTTCAACTCACAGAGCTGAACATTCCTTTGGGTGGAGCAGTTTCCAAACACACTTTGTGTAGAATCTGCAAGTGGAGATTTGGACCGCTCTGAGGATTTCGCTGGATACGGGAGAAAAGTCACCTACGTAAACAGAAGCATTCTCAGAACCTTCTTCGTGATGCTTGCATTCAACTCACAGTGTTGAAACTTTCTCTGACAGTTCAGGTTTGAAACACTCCTTCTGCAGAATCTGCAAGTGGAGATTTGGACCTCTTTGAGGCCTATCGTAGTAAAGGAAAGTACTTCATCTAAAAACAAGGCGGAAGCATTCTCAGAAAATTCTTTGCGATGATTGAGTTTAACTCACAGAGCTGAGCATATCTTTTGATGGGGCATTTTCCAAACACACCTTTTGTGGAATATGCAAGTGGATTTTGGGACTTCTCTGAGAATTTCGTGGGAAACGGGATAAACCTCACATAACTGAAGAGGAACATTCTCAGAACTTCTTGGTGATGTTGGCATTCAACTGACAGAGTTGAACCTTCCCTTGTGAGTTCAGGTTGAAACGCTCTTTTCGTAGGATCTGCAAGTGGAGGTTTGGAACGCTTTGAGGCCTACGGTAGTAAAGGAAACAGCTTCATGTAAAAACTGGACAGAAGCATTCTCAGAAAATACTTTGGGACGATTGAGTTCAACTCACAGAGCTGAACATTCCTTTGGGTGGAGCAGTTTGGAAACACACTTTTTGTAGACTCCGCAGGTGGATATTTGGACCTCTCTGAGGATTTCGTTGGAAACGGGATAACGTCACCTAACTAAACAGAAGCTTTCGCAGAAACATCCTTCTGACGTTGGCCTTCAAAGTCCAGAGTTGAGCCTTCCTTTGGTAGTTCACGTTTGAAACACTCTTTTTGGAGGACCTGCAAGTGGATATTTGGAGCACTTTGTGGCCTTCGTTCGAAACGGCTATCTCTTCACGTAAAATCTAGACAGAAGCCTTCTCAGAAACTTCTCTGTGATGATTGCATGCAACTCACAGAGTTGAACATTCCTTTTGATGGAGCAGTTTTGAAACTCTCTTTTGCTAGCATCTGCAAATGGATAGGTGGAACTCTGTGAAGTCTTCTTTGGAAACGGGAATATCCTCAAGTAAAAAGTAAACAGAAGCATTCTCAGAAACTCCTTTCTGAGGCTTGTGTTCAACTCCCAGAGTATAACATTGCTTTTCATAGAGCAGTTTTGAAACATTCTTTTCGTAGAGCCTCCAAGTGGACATTTGGAGCGCTTTCAGGCCTGCGGTGGAAAAGGAAATATCTTCACATAAAAGCTAGAGGGAAGCATTGTCAGAAACTTCTTGGTGATGATTGCCTTCAACTCACGGAGCTGAGGATTCCTTTGGATGCAGCAGTTTGGAAACACTCTTTGTGTGGAATCTGCAAGCGGATATGTGGACCTCTTTGAACATTTCGATGGAAAAGGGATAATCTTCCCGTAAAAGCTAAACGGAAGCATGCTCAGGAACTTCCTTGTGATGTTTGCATTCAACTCACAGAGTTGTACTTTCCTTTTGATAGAGCAGCTTTGAAACCCCCTCTTTCTAGCATCGGCAAGGGGACATTTGGAGGGCTTCGAGGCCTGGGGTGGAAAAGGAAATATCTTCTCATCAAAGCTACATGGAAGCATTCTCAGAAGCTGCTTTGTGATGATTGCATTCAAGTCACTGAGTTGAACATCCCCTTTGATGGGGCCATTTGGAAACACACTTCTGGTAGAATCTGAAAGGGGAGATTTGGACCGCTTTGAGGCCTATGGCAGTAGAGGATATAACTGCACATAAAAGCGAGACAGGAGCATTCCCAGGAAACGCTTTGTGACCATTGAGTTCAACTCACAGAGCTGAACATTCCTTTGGGTGGAGCAGTTTCCAAACACACTTTGTGTAGAATCTGCAAGTGGAGATTTGGACCGCTCTGAGGATTTCGCTGGATACGGGAGAAAAGTCACCTATGTAAACAGAAGCATTGTCAGAACCTTCTTCGTGATGCTTGCATTCAACTCAGCAGTGT
>NC_000001.11:121815731-121823518 GCF_000001405.40 Homo sapiens
TTGGACGCTTGAGGCCACGGTGTAAAGAAACCGCTCATTAAAAACTGACCGAAGCTTTTCGAAAATATTGGGACGATGAGTTCACTCACAGAGCTGACATTTCTTTGGGTGGAGCAGTTGGAAACCACACTTTTTGTAGGCTCCGCAGGGTTGATATTTGACCTCTTCTGAGGATTTCGTTGGAAACGGGATAACGTCACTACTNAAAACAGAAGCTTTCGCAGAGACATCTTTCTGACGTNGNCCTCAAAGTCCAGAGTGNAGCCTTCCTTTGGTAGTTCACGTTTGAAACACTCTTTTTGGAGGACCTGCAAGTGGATATNTGGAGCACTTTGTGCCTTTCGTTCGAAACGGCTATATCTTCACGTAAAATCTAGACAGAAGCCTTCTCAGAAACTTCTCTGTGATGATTGCATGCAACTCACAGAGTTGAACATTCCTTTTGATGGAGCAGTTTTGAAACTCTCTTTTGCTAGCATCTGCAAATGGATAGGTGGAACTCTGTGAAGACTTCTTTGGAAACGGGAATATCCTCACGTAAAAAGTAAACAGAAGCATTCTCAGATACTCCTTTGTGAGTCTTGTGTTCAACTCCCAGAGTATAACATTGCTTTTCATAGAGCAGTTTTGAAACATTCTTTTCGTAGAGCCTCCAAGTGGACATTTGGAGCGCTTTCAGGCCTGCGGTGGAAAAGGAAATATCTTCACATAAAAGCTAGAGAGAAGCATTGTCAGAAACTTCTTGGTGATGATTGCATTCAACTCACGGAGCTGAGGATTCCTTTGGATGCAGCAGTTTGGAAACACTCTTTCGCTGGAATCTGCAAGCGGATATGTGGACCTCTTTGAACATTTCGATGGAAAAGGGATAATCTTCCCGTAAAAGCTAAACGGAAGCATGCTCAGGAACTTCCTTGTGATGTTTGCATTCAACTCACAGAGTTGTACTTTCCTTTTGATAGAGCAGCTTTGAAACCCCCTCTTTCTAGCATCGGCAAGGGGACATTTGGAGGGCTTCGAGGCCTGGGGTGGAAAAGAAAATATCTTCTCATCAAAGCTACATGGAAGCATTCTCAGAAGCTGCTTTGTGATGATTGCATTCAAGTCACCGAGTTGAACATCCCCTTTGATGGGGCCGTTTGGAAACACACTTCTGGGAGAATCTGAAAGGGGAGATTTGGACCGCTTTGAGGCCTATGGCAGTAGAGGATATAACCGCACATAAAAGCGAGACAGGAGCATTCCCAGGAAACGCTTTGTGACCATTGAGTTCAACTCACAGAGCTGATCATTCCTTTGGGTGGAGCAGTTTCCAAACACACTTTGTGTAGAATCTGCAAGTGGAGATTTGGACCTCTCTGAGGATTTCGCTGGATACGGGAGAAAAGTCAACTACGTAAACAGAAGCATTCTCAGAACCTTCTTCGTGATGCTTGCATTCAACTCACAGTGTTGAACCTTTCTCTGACAGTTCAGGTTTGAAACACTCCTTCTGCAGAATCTGCAAGTGGAGATTTGGACCTCTTTGAGGCCTATCGTAGTAAAGGAAAGAACTTCATCTAAAAACAAGACGGAAGCATTCTCAGAAAATTCTTTGCGATGATTGAGTTTAACTCACAGAGCTGAGCATATCTTTTGATGGCACATTTTCCAAACACAACTTTTGTGGAATATGCAAGTGGATTTTGGGACTTCTCTGAGAATTTCGTTGGAAACGGGATAAACCTCACATAACTGAAGAAGAACATTCTCAGAACTTCTTGGTGATGTTGGCATTCAACTGACAGAGTTGAACCTTCCCTTGTGAGTTCAGGTTGAAACGCTCTTTTCGTAGTATCTGCAAGTGGAGGTTTGGAACGCTTTGAGGCCTACGGTAGTAAAGGAAACAGCTTCATGTAAAAACTGGACAGAAGCATTCTCAGAAAATACTTTGGGACGATTGAGTTCAACTCACAGAGCTGAACATTCCTTTGGGTGGAGCAGTTTGGAAACACACTTTTTGTAGACTCCGCAGGTGGATATTTGGACCTCTCTGAGGATTTCGTTGGAAACGGGATAACGTCACCTAACTAAACAGAAGCTTTCGCAGAAACATCCTTCTGACGTTGGCCTTCAAAGTCCAGAGTTGAGCCTTCCTTTGGTAGTTCACGTTTGAAACACTCTTTTTGGAGGACCTGCAAGTGGATATTTGGAGCACTTTGTGGCCTTCGTTCGAAACGGCTATATCTTCACGTAAAATCTAGACAGAAGCCTTCTCAGAAACTTCTCTGTGATGATTGCATGCAACTCACAAAGTTGAACATTCGTTTTGATGGAGCAGTTTTGAAACTCTCTTTTGCTAGCATCTGCAAATGGATAGGTGGAACTCTGTGAAGACTTCTTTGGAAACGGGAATATCCTCACGTAAAAAGTAAACAGAAGCATTCTCAGAAACTCCTTTGTGAGGCTTGTGTTCAACTCCCAGAGTATAACATTGCTTCTCATAGAGCAGTTTTGAAACATTCTTTTCGTAGAGCCTCCAAGTGGACATTTGGAGCGCTTTCAGGCCTGCGGTGGAAAAGGAAATATCTTCACATAAAAGCTAGAGAGAAGCATTGTCAGAAACTTCTTGGTGATGATTGCCTTCAACTCACGGAGCTGAGGATTCCTTTGGATGCAGCAGTTTGGAAACACTCTTTCGGTGGAATCTGCAAGCGGATATGTGGACCTCTTTGAACATTTCGATGGAAAAGGGATAATCTTCCCGTAAAAGCTAAACGGAAGCATGCTCAGGAACTTCCTTGTGATGTTTGCATTCAACTCACAGAGTTGTACTTTCCGTTTGATAGAGCAGCTTTGAAACCCCCTCTTTCTAGCATCGGCAAGGGGACATTTGGACGGCTTCGAGGCCTGGGGTGGAAAAGGAAATATCTTCTCATCAAAGCTACATGGAAGCATTCTCAGAAGCTGCTTTGTGATGATTGCATTCAAGTCACCGAGTAGAACATCCCCTTTGATGGAGCCGTTTGGAAACACACCTTTGGTAGAATCTGAAAGGGGAGATTTGGACCGCTTTGAGGCCTATGGCAGTAGAGGATATAACTGCACATAAAAGCGAGACAGGAGAATTCCCAGGAAACGCTTTGTGACCATTGAGTTCAACTCACAGAGCTGAACATTCCTTTGGGTGGAGCAGTTTGCAAACACACTTTGTGTAGAATCTGCAAGTGGAGATTTGGACCGCTCTGATGATTTCGCTGGATACGGCAGAAAAGTCACCTACGTAAACAGAAGCATTCTCAGAACCTTCTTCGTGATGCTTGCATTCAACTCACAGTGTTGAACCTTTCTCTGACAGTTCAGGTTTGAAACACTCCTTCTGCAGAATCTGCAAGTGGAGGTTTGGACCTCTTTGAGGCCTATCGTAGTAAAGGAAATAACTTCATCTAAAAACAAGACGGAAGCATTCTCAGAAAATTCTTTGCGATGCTTGAGTTTAACTCATAGAGCTGAGCATATCTTTTGATGGCGCATTTTCCAAACACACCTTTTGTGGAATATGCAAGTGGATTTTGGGACTTCTCTGAGAATTTCGTGGGAAACGGGATAAACCTCACATAACTTAAGAGGAACATTCTCAGAAGTTCTTGGTGATGTTGGCATTCAACTGACAGAGTTGAACCTTCCCTTGTGAGTTCAGGTTGAAACGCTCTTTTTGTAGTATCTGCAAGTGGAGGTTTGGAACGCTTTGAGGCCTACGGTAGTAAAGGAAACAGCTTCATGTAAAAACTGGACAGAACCATTCTCAGAAAATACTTTGGGATGATTGAGTTCAACTCACAGAGCTGAACATTCCTTTGGGTGGAGCAGTTTTGAAACACACTTTTTGTAGACTCTGCAGGTGGATATTTGGACCTCTCTGAGGATTTCGTTGGAAACGGGATAACGTCACCTAACTAAACAGAAGCTTTCGCAGAAACATCCTTCTGACGTTGGCATTCAAAGTCCAGAGTTGAGCCTTCCTTTTGGTAGTCACGTTTGAAACACTCTTTTTGGAGGACCTGCAAGTGGATATTTGGAGCACTTTGTGGCCTTCGTTCGAAACGGCTATATCTTCACGTAAAATCTAGACAGAAGTCTTCTCAGAAACTTCTCTGTGATGATTGCATGCAACTCACAGAGTTGAACATTCCTTTTGATGGAGCAGTTTTGAAACTCTCTTTTGCTAGCATCTGCAAATGGATAGGTGGAACTCTGTGAAGACTTCTTTGGAAACGGGAATATCCTCACGTAAAAAGTAAACAGAAGCATTCTCAGAAACTCCTTTGTGAGGCTTGTGTTCAACTGCCAGAGTATAACATTGCTTTTCATAGAGCAGTTTTGAAACATTCTTTTCGTAGAGCCTCCAAGTGGACATTTGGAGCGCTTTCAGGCCTGCGGTGGAAAAGGAAATATCTTCACATAAAAGCTAGAGAGAAGCATTGTCAGAAACTTCTTGGTGATGATTGCCTTCAACTCACGGAGCTGAGGATTCGTTTGGATGCAGCAGTTTGGAAACACCCTTTCGGTGGAATCTGCAAGCGGATATGTGGACCTCTTTGAACATTTCGATGGAAAAGGGATAATCTTCCCGTAAAAACTAAACGGAAGCATGCTCAGGAACTTCCTTGTGATGTTTGCATTCAACTCACAGAGTTGTACTTTCCTTTTCATAGAGCAGCTTTGAAACCCCCTCTTTCTAGCATCTGCAAGGGGACATTTGGAGGGCTTCGAGGCCTGGGGTGGAAAAGGAAATATCTTCTCATCAAAGCTACATGGAAGCATTCTCAGAAGCTGCTTTGTGATGATTGCATTCAAGTCACCGAGTTGAACATCCCCTTTGATGGGGCCGTTTGGAAACACACCTTTGGTAGAATCTGAAAGGGGAGATTTGGACCGCTTTGAGGCCTATGGCAGTAGAGGATATAACCGCACATAAAAGCGAGACAGGAGCATTCCCAGGAAACGCTTTGTGACGATTGAGTTCAACTCACAGAGCTGAACATTCCTTTGGGTGGAGCAGTTTCCAAACACACTTTGTGTAGAATCTTCAAGTGGAGATTTGGACCGCTCTGAGGATTTCATTGGATACGGGAGAAAAGTCACCTACGTAAACAGAAGCATTCTCAGAACCTTCTTCGTGATGCTTGCATTCAACTCACAGTGTTGAACCTTTCTCTGACAGTTCAGGTTTGAAACACTCCTTCTGCAAAATCTGCTAGTGGAGATTTGGACCTCTTTGAGGCCTATCGTAGTAAAGGAAAGAACTTCATCTAAAAACAAGACTGAAGCATTCTCAGAAAATACTTTGCGATGATTGAGTTTAACTCACAGAGCTGAGCATATCTTTTGATGGCGCAATTTCCAAACACACCTTTTGTGGAATATGCCAGTGGATTTTGGGACTTCTCTGAGAATTTCGTTGGAAACGGGATAAACCTCACATAACTGAAGAGGAACATTCTCAGAACTTCTTGGTGATGTTGGCATTCAACTGACAGAGTTGAACCTTCCCTTGTGAGTTCAGGTTGAAACGCTCTTTTCGTAGTATCTGCAAGTGGAGGTTTGGAACGCTTTGAGGCCTACGGTAGTAAAGGGAACAGCTTCATGTAAAAACTGGACAGAAGAATTCTGAGAAAATACTTTGGGATGATTGAGTTCAACTCACAGAGCTGAACATTCCTTTGGGTGGAGCAGTTTTGAAACACACTGTTTGTAGACTCTGCAGGTGGATATTTGGACCTCTCTGAGGATTTCGTTGGAGACGGGATAACGTCACCTAACTAAACAGAAGTTTTCGCAGAAACATCCTTCTGACGTTGGCATTCAAAGTCCAGAGTTGAGCCTTCCTTTGGTAGTTCACGTTTGAAACACTCTTTTTGGAGGACCTGCAAGTGGATATTGGGAGCACTTTGTGGCCTTCGTTCGAAACGGCCATATCTTCACATAAAATCTAGACAGAAGCCTTCTCAGAAACTTCTCTGTGATGATTGCATGCAACTCACAGAGTTAAACATTCCTTTTGATGGAGCAGTTTTGAAACTCTCTTTTGCTAGCATCTGCAAATGTATAGGTGGAACTCTGTGAAGACTTCTTTGGAAACGGGAATATCCTCACGTAAAAAGTAAACAGAAGCATTCTCAGAAACTCCTTTGTGAGGCTTGTGTTCAACTCCCAGAGTATAACATTGCTTTCCATAGAGCCAGTTTGAAAAATTCTTTTGGTGACCTCCAAGTGGACATTTGGAGCGCTTTCAGGCCTGCGGTGGAAAAGGAAATATCTTCACATAAAAACTAGAGAGAAGCATTGTCAGAAACTTCTTGGTGATGATTGCATTCAACTCACGGAGCTGAGGATTCCTTTTGATGCAGCAGTTTGGAAACACTCTATCGGTGGAATCTGCAAGCAGATATGTGGACCTCTTTGAACATTTCGATGGAAAAGGGATAATCTTCCCGTAAAAGCTAAACGGAAGCATGCTCAGGAACTTCCTTGTGATGTTTGCATTCAACTCACAGAGTTCTACTTTCCTTTTGATAGAGCAGCTTTGAAACCCCCTCTTTCTAGCATCTGCAAGGGGACATTTGGAGGGCTTCGAGGCCTGGGGTGGAAAAGGAAGTATCTTCTCATCAAACCTACATGGAAGCATTCTCAGAACCTGCTTTCTGATGATTGCATTCAAGTCACCGAGTTGAACATCCCCTTTGATGGGGCCGTTTGGAAACACACTTTTGGTAGAATCTGAAAGGGGAGATTTGGACCGCTTTGAGGCCTATGGCAGTAGAGGATATAACTGCACATGAAAGCGAGACAGGAGCATTCCCGGGAAACGCTTTGTGACGATTGAGTTCAACTCACAGAGCTGAACATTCCTTTGGGTGGAGTAGTTTCCAAACACACTTTGTGTAGAATCTGCAAGTGGAGATTTGGACCGCTCTGAGGATTTCGTTGGATACGGGAGAAAAGTCACCTACGTAAACAGAAGCATTCTCAGAACCTTCTTCGTGATGCTTGCATTCAACTCACAGTGTTGAACCTTTCTCTGACAGTTCAGGTTTGAAACACTCCTTCTGCAGAATCTGCAAGTGGAGATTTGGACCTCCTTGAGGCCTATCGTAGTAAAGGAAAGAACTTCGTCTAAAAACAAGACGGAGGCATTCTCAGAAAATTCTTTGCGATGATTGAGTTTAACTCACAGAGCTGAGCATATCTTTTGATGGCGCATTTTCAAAACACACCTTTTGTGGAATATGCAAGTGGATTTTGGGACTTCTCTGAGAATTTCGTTGGAAACGGGATAAACCTCACGTAACTGAAGAGGAACATTCTCAGAAGTTCTTGGTGATGTTGGCATTCAACTGGCAGAGTTGAACCTTCCCTTGTGAGTTCAGGTTGAAACTCTCTTTTCGTAGTATCTGCAATTGGAGGTTTGGAACGCTTTGAGGCCTACGGTAGTAAAGGAAAAAGCTTCATGTAAAAACTGGACAGAAGCATTCTCAGAAAATACTTTGGGATGATTGAGTTCAACTCACAGAGCTGAACATTCCTTTGGGTGGAGCAGTTTTGAAACACACTTTTTGTAGACTCTGCAGGTGGATATTTGGACCTCTCTGAGGATTTCGTTGGAAACGGGATAACGTCACCTAACTAAACAGAAGCTTTCGCAGAAACATCCTTCTGACGTTGGCATTCAAACTCCAGAGTTGAGCCTTCCTTTGGTAGTTCACGTTTGAAACACTCTTTTTGGAGGACCTGCAAGTGGATATTGG
>NC_000001.11:121823618-121826494 GCF_000001405.40 Homo sapiens
TTTCCTTTTCACACAGAGCCTGAAAGCATTCCAAATGTCCACCTGGATGCTCTACGAAAGAATGTTTCAAAACTGCTCTATGAAAAGCAATGTTATACTCTGGGAGTTGAACACAAGCCCCACAAAGGAGTTTCTGAGAATGCTTCTGTTTACTTTTTACGTGAGGATATTCCCGTTTCCAAAGAAGTCTTCACAGAGTTCCACCTATCCATTTGCAGATGCTAGCAAAAGAGAGTTTCAAAATTGCTCTATCAAAAGGAATGTTCAACTCTGTGAGTTGCATGCAATCATCACAGAGAAGTTTCTGAGAAGGCTTCTGTCTAGATTTTATGTGAAGATACAGCCGTTTCGAACGAAGGCCACAAAGTGCTCCAAATATCCACTTGCAGGTCCTCCAAAAAGAGTGTTTCAAACGTGAACTACCAAAGGAAGGCTCAACTCTGGACTTTGAATGCAAACGTCAGAAAGATTTTTCTGCGAAAGCTTCTGTTTAGTTAGGTGACGTTATCCCGTTTCCAACGAAATCGTCAGAGAGGTCCAAATATCCACCTGCAGAGTCTACAAAAAGTGTGTTTCAAAACTGCTCCACCAAAAGGAATGTTCAGCTCTGTGAGTTAAACTCAATCATCCCAAAGTATTTTCTGAGAATGCTTCTGTCCAGTTTTTACATGAAGCTGTTTCCTTTACTACCGTAGGCCTCAAAGGGTTCCAAATCTCCACTTGCAGATACTACGAAAAGAGCGATTAAACCTGAACTCACAAGGGAAGGTTCAACTCTGTCAGTTGAATGCCAACATCACAAAGAAGTTCTGAGAATGTTTCTCTTCAGTTATGTGAGGTTTATCCCGTTTCCCACGAAATTCTCAGAGAAGTCCAAATATCCACTTGGATATTCTACAAAAAGTGTGTTTTCAAAATGCTCCATCAAAAGATATGCTCAGCTCTGTGTGTTAAACTCAATCATCACAAAGAATTTTCTGAGAATGCTTCTGTCTTGTTTTTAGATGAGGTTATATCCTTTACTACGATAGGCCTCAAAGAGGTCCAAATCTCCACTTGCAGATTCTGCAGAAGGAGTGTTTAAAACCTGAACTATCAGAGAAAGGATGAACACTGTGAGTTGAATGCAAGCATCACGAAGAAGGTTCTGAGAATGCTTCTGTTTATATAGGTGAGTTTTCTCCCGTATCCATCAAAAGATATGCTCAGCTCTGTGAGTTAAACTCAATCATCACAAAGAATTTTCTGAGAATGCTTCTGTCTTGTTTTTAGATGAAGTTCTTTCCTTTACTACGATAGGCCTCAAAGAGGTCCAAATCTCCACTTGCAGATTCTGCAGAAGGAGTGTTTCAAACCTGAACTATCAGAGAAAGGTTCAACACTGTGAGTTGAATGCAAGCATCACGAAGAAGGTTCTGAGAATGCTTCTGTTTACGTAGGTGAGTTTTCTCCCGTATCCAATGAAATCCTCAGAGCGGTCCAAATCTCCACTTGCAGATTCTACAAAAAGTGTGTTTTGAAACTGCTCCATCCAAAGGAATGTTCAGCTCTGTGAATTGAACTCAATCGTCACAAAGTGTTTCCTGGGAATGCTCCTGTCTCCTTTTTATGTGCAGTTATATCCTCTACTGCCATAGGCCTCAAAGCGGTCCAAATCTCCCCTTTCAGATTCTACCAAAAGTGTGTTTCCAAACGGCTCCATCAAAGGGAATGTTCAACTCGGTGACTTGAATGCAATCATCACAAACCAGTTTCTGAGAATGCTTCCATGTAGCTTTGATGAGAAGATATTTCCTTTTCCACCCCAGGCCTCGAAGCCCTCCAAATGTCCCCTTGCAGATGCTAGAAAGAGAGGGTTTCAAAGCTACTCTATCAAAAGGAAAGTACAACTCTGTGAGTTGAATGCAAACATCACAAACAAGTTCCTGAGCATGCTTCCGTTTAGCTTTTATGGGAAGATTATCCCTTTTCCATCGAAATGTTCAAAGAGGTCCACATATCCGCTTGCAGATTTCACCGAAAGAGTGTTTCCAAACTGCTGTATCAAAAGGAATCCTCAACTCCGTGAGTTGAATGCAATCATCACCAAGAAGTTTCTGACAATGCTTCTCTCTAGTTTTTATGTGAAGATATTTCCTTTTCCACCACAGGCCTGAAAGCCCTCCAAATGTCCACTTGGGGGCTCTACGAAAAGAATGTTTCAAAACTGCTCTATGAAAAGCAATGTTATACTCTGGGAGTTGAACACAAGCCCCACAAAGGAGTTTCTGAGAATGCTTCTGTTTACTTTTTACGTGAGGATATTCCCGTTTCCAAAGAAGTCTTCACAGAGTTCCACCTATCCATTTGCAGATGCTAGCAAAAGACAGTTTCAAAACTGCTCTATCAAAAGGAATGTTCAACTCTGTGAGTTGCATGCAATCATCACAGAGAAGTTTCTGAGAAGGCTTCTGTCTAGATTTTATGTGAAGATACAGTCGTTTCGAACGAAGGCCACAAAGTGCTCAAAATATCCACTTGCAGGTCCTCCAAAAAGAGTGTTTCAAACGTGAACTACCAAAGGAAGGCTCAACTCTGGACTTTGAAGGCCAACGTCAGAAAGATGTTTCTGCGAAAGCTTCTGTTTAGTTAGGTGACGTTATCCCGTTTCCAACGAAATCCTCAGAGAGGTCCAAATATCCACCTGCAGAGTCTACAAAAAGTGTGTTTCAAAACTCCTCCACCCAAAGGAATGTTCAGCTCTGTGAGTTGAACTCAATCATCCCAAAGTATTTTCTGAGAATGCTTCTGTCCAGTTTTTACATGAAGCTGTTTCCTTTACTACCGTATGCCTCAAAGCGTTCCAAATCTCCACTGGAGATAGTNGAAAAGAGCGT
>NC_000001.11:121826594-121829415 GCF_000001405.40 Homo sapiens
ATACTACGAAAAGAGCGATTCAACCTGAACTCACAAGGGAAGGTTCAACTCTATCAGTTGAATGCCAACATCACAAAGAAGTTCTGAGAATGTTTCTCTTCAGTTATGTGAGGTTTATCCCGTTTCCCACGAAATTCTCAGGGAAGTCCAAATATCCACTTGCATATTCTACAAAAAGTGTGTTTTGAAAATGCTCCATCAAAAGATATGCTCAGCTCTGTGTGTTAAACTCAATCATCACAAAGAATTTTCTGAGAATGCTTCTGTCTTGTTTTTAGATGAGGTTATATCCTTTACTACGATAGGCCTCAAAGAGGTCCAAATCTCCACTTGCAGATTCTGCAGAAGGAGTGTTTAAAACCTGAACTATCAGAGAAAGGTTGAACACTGTGAGTTGAATGCAAGCATCACGAAGAAGGTTCTGAGAATGCTTCTGTTTATATAGGTGAGTTTTCTCCCGTATCCATCAAAAGATATGCTCAGCTGTGTGAGTTAAACTCAATCATCACAAAGAATTTTCTGAGAATGCTTCTGTCTTGTTTTTAGATGAAGTTCTTTCCTTTACTACGATAGGCCTCAAAGAGGTCCAAATCTCCACTTGCAGATTCTGCAGAAGGAGTGTTTAAAACCTGAACTATCAGAGAAAGGTTCAACACTGTGAGTTGAATGCAAGCATCACGAAGAAGGTTCTGAGAATGCTTCTGTTTACATAGGTGTGTTTTCTCCCGTATCCATCAAAAGATATGCTCAGCTCTGTGAGTTAAACCCAATCATCACAAAGAATTTTCTGAGAATGCTTCTGTCTTGTTTTTAGATGAAGTTCTTTCATTTACTACGATAGGCCTCAAAGAGGTCCAAATCTCCACTTGCAGATTCTGCAGAAGGAGTGTTTAAAACCTGAACTATCAGAGAAAGGTTCAACACTGTGAGTTGAATGCAAGCATCAGGAAGAAGGTTCTGAGAATGCTTCTGTTTACATACGTGAGTTTTCTCCCGTATCCATCAAAAGATATGCTCAGCTCTGTGAGTTAAACTCAATCATCACAAAGAATTTTCTGAGAATACTTCTGTCTTGTTTTTAGATGAAGTTCTTTCCTTTACTACGATAGGCCTCAAAGAGGTCCAAATCTCCACTTGCAGATTCTGCAGAAGGAGTGTTTCAAACCTGAACTATCAGAGAAAGGTTCAACACTGTGAGTTGAATGCAAGCATCACGAAGAAGGTTCTGAGAATGCTTCTGTTTACATAGGTGAGTTTTCTCCCGTATCCAATGAAATCCTCAGAGCGGTCCAAATCTCCACTTGCAGATTCTACAAAAAGTGTGTTTTGAAACTGCTCCATCCAAAGGAATGTTCAGCTCTGTGAATTGAACTCAATCGTCACAAAGTGTTTCCTGGGAATGCTCCTGTCTCCTTTTTATGTGCAGTTATATCCTCTACTGCCATAGGCCTCAAAGCGGTCCAAATCTCCCCTTTCAGATTCTACCAAAAGTGTGTTTCCAAACGGCTCCATCAAAGGGAATGTTCAACTCGGTGACTTGAATGCAATCATCACAAAGCAGTTTCTGAGAATGCTTCCATGTAGCTTTGATGAGAAGATATTTCCTTTTCCACCCCAGGCCTCGAAGCCCTCCAAATGTCCCCTTGCAGATGCTAGAAAGAGAGGGTTTCAAAGCTGCTCTATCAAAAGGAAAGTACAACTCTGTGAGTTGAATGCAAACTTCACAAAGAAGTTCCTGAGCATGCTTCCGTTTAGCTTTTACGGGAAGATTATCCCTTTTCCATCGAAATGTTCAAAGAGGTCCACATATCCGCTTGCAGATTCCACCGAAAGAGTGTTTCCAAACAGCTGCATCAAAAGGAATCCTCAGCTCCGTGAGTTGAATGCAATCATCACCAAGAGGTTTCTGACAATGCTTCTCTCTAGTTTTTATGTGAAGATATTTCCTTTTCCAACACAGGCCTGAAAGCCCTCCAAATGTCCACCTGGATGCTCTACGAAAAGAATGTTTCAAAACTGCTCTATGAAAAGCAATGTTATACTCTGGGAGTTGAACACAAGCCCCACAAAGGAGTTTCTGAGAATGCTTCTGTTTACTTTTTACGTGAGGATATTCCCGTTTCCAAAGAAGTCTTCACAGAGTTCCACCTATCCATTTGCAGATGCTAGCAAAAGAGAGTTTCAAAATTGCTCTATCAAAAGGAATGTTCAACTCTGTGAGTTGCATGCAATCATCACAGAGAAGTTTCTGAGAAGGCTTCTGTCTAGATTTTATGTGAAGATACAGCCGTTTCGAACGAAGGCCACAAAGTGCTCCAAATATCCACTTGCAGGTCCTCCAAAAAGAGTGTTTCAAACGTGAACTACCAAAGGAAGGCTCAACTCTGGACTTTGAATGCAAACGTCAGAAAGATTTTTCTGCGAAAGCTTCTGTTTAGTTAGGTGACGTTATCCCGTTTCCAACGAAATCGTCAGAGAGGTCCAAATATCCACCTGCAGAGTCTACAAAAAGTGTGTTTCAAAACTGCTCCACCAAAAGGAATGTTCAGCTCTGTGAGTTAAACTCAATCATCCCCAAGTATTTTCTGAGAATGCTTCTGTCCAGTTTTTACTGAAGCTGTTTCCTTTACTACCGTAGCCCTCAAAGGGTTCCAATCTTCCCTTGCAGATACTACGAAAAGAGCAATTAACCCTGAACTCCCAGGGGAGGTTCAACTCTGTCATTGAATGCCAACCTCCCAGAAATTCTGAAAATGTTCCCCTCCATTAAGGGAAGTTAATCCGTTTCCCACAAATTCCAAAAAAGTCCAAATTCCACTTG
>NC_000001.11:121829515-121845841 GCF_000001405.40 Homo sapiens
AAAGAATGTCAGTCGTGAGTAACTCATCATCCAAAGTATTTCTGAGATTCTCTGTCCAGTTTACATGAGCTGTTCCTTACTACCGTAGGCCTCAAAGCGTTCCAAATCTCCACTTGCAGATACTACGAAAAGAGCGATTCAACCTGAACTCACAAGGGAAGGTTCAACTCTATCAGTTGAATGCCAACATCACAAAGAAGTTCTGAGAATGTTTCTCTTCAGTTATGTGAGGTTTATCCCGTTTCCCACGAAATTCTCAGGGAAGTCCAAATATCCACTTGCATATTCTACAAAAAGTGTGTTTTGAAAATGCTCCATCAAAAGATATGCTCAGCTCTGTGTGTTAAACTCAATCATCACAAAGAATTTTCTGAGAATGCTTCTGTCTTGTTTTTAGATGAGGTTATATCCTTTACTACGATAGGCCTCAAAGAGGTCCAAATCTCCACTTGCAGATTCTGCAGAAGGAGTGTTTAAAACCTGAACTATCAGAGAAAGGTTGAACACTGTGAGTTGAATGCAAGCATCACGAAGAAGGTTCTGAGAATGCTTCTGTTTATATAGGTGAGTTTTCTCCCGTATCCATCAAAAGATATGCTCAGCTGTGTGAGTTAAACTCAATCATCACAAAGAATTTTCTGAGAATGCTTCTGTCTTGTTTTTAGATGAAGTTCTTTCCTTTACTACGATAGGCCTCAAAGAGGTCCAAATCTCCACTTGCAGATTCTGCAGAAGGAGTGTTTAAAACCTGAACTATCAGAGAAAGGTTCAACACTGTGAGTTGAATGCAAGCATCACGAAGAAGGTTCTGAGAATGCTTCTGTTTACATAGGTGTGTTTTCTCCCGTATCCATCAAAAGATATGCTCAGCTCTGTGAGTTAAACCCAATCATCACAAAGAATTTTCTGAGAATGCTTCTGTCTTGTTTTTAGATGAAGTTCTTTCATTTACTACGATAGGCCTCAAAGAGGTCCAAATCTCGACTTGCAGATTCTGCAGAAGGAGTGTTTAAAACCTGAACTATCAGAGAAAGGTTCAACACTGTGAGTTGAATGCAAGCATCAGGAAGAAGGTTCTGAGAATGCTTCTGTTTACATACGTGAGTTTTCTCCCGTATCCATCAAAAGATATGCTCAGCTCTGTGAGTTAAACTCAATCATCACAAAGAATTTTCTGAGAATACTTCTGTCTTGTTTTTAGATGAAGTTCTTTCCTTTACTACGATAGGCCTCAAAGAGGTCCAAATCTCCACTTGCAGATTCTGCAGAAGGAGTGTTTCAAACCTGAACTATCAGAGAAAGGTTCAACACTGTGAGTTGAATGCAAGCATCACGAAGAAGGTTCTGAGAATGCTTCTGTTTACATAGGTGAGTTTTCTCCCGTATCCAATGAAATCCTCAGAGCGGTCCAAATCTCCACTTGCAGATTCTACAAAAAGTGTGTTTTGAAACTGCTCCATCCAAAGGAATGTTCAGCTCTGTGAATTGAACTCAATCGTCACAAAGTGTTTCCTGGGAATGCTCCTGTCTCCTTTTTATGTGCAGTTATATCCTCTACTGCCATAGGCCTCAAAGCGGTCCAAATCTCCCCTTTCAGATTCTACCAAAAGTGTGTTTCCAAACGGCTCCATCAAAGGGAATGTTCAACTCGGTGACTTGAATGCAATCATCACAAAGCAGTTTCTGAGAATGCTTCCATGTAGCTTTGATGAGAAGATATTTCCTTTTCCACCCCAGGCCTCGAAGCCCTCCAAATGTCCCCTTGCAGATGCTAGAAAGAGAGGGTTTCAAAGCTGCTCTATCAAAAGGAAAGTACAACTCTGTGAGTTGAATGCAAACTTCACAAAGAAGTTCCAGAGCATGCTTCCGTTTAGCTTTTACGGGAAGATTATCCCTTTTCCATCGAAATGTTCAAAGAGGTCCACATATCCGCTTGCAGATTCCACCGAAAGAGTGTTTCCAAACAGCTGCATCAAAAGGAATCCTCAGCTCCGTGAGTTGAATGCAATCATCACCAAGAGGTTTCTGACAATGCTTCTCTCTAGTTTTTATGTGAAGATATTTCCTTTTCCAACACAGGCCTGAAAGCATTCCAAATGTCCACCTGGATGCTCTACGAAAGAATGTTTCAAAACTGCTCTATGAAAAGCAATGTTATACTCTGGGAGTTGAACACAAGCCCCACAAAGGAGTTTCTGAGAATGCTTCTGTTTACTTTTTACGTGAGGATATTCCCGTTTCCAAAGAAGTCTTCACAGAGTTCCACCTATCCATTTGCAGATGCTAGCAAAAGAGAGTTTCAAAATTGCTCTATCAAAAGGAATGTTCAACTCTGTGAGTTGCATGCAATCATCACAGAGAAGTTTCTGAGAAGGCTTCTGTCTAGATTTTATGTGAAGATACAGCCGTTTCGAACGAAGGCCACAAAGTGCTCCAAATATCCACTTGCAGGTCCTCCAAAAAGAGTGTTTCAAACGTGAACTACCAAAGGAAGGCTCAACTCTGGACTTTGAATGCAAACGTCAGAAAGATTTTTCTGCGAAAGCTTCTGTTTAGTTAGGTGACGTTATCCCGTTTCCAACGAAATCGTCAGAGAGGTCCAAATATCCACCTGCAGAGTCTACAAAAAGTGTGTTTCAAAACTGCTCCACCAAAAGGAATGTTCAGCTCTGTGAGTTAAACTCAATCATCCCAAAGTATTTTCTGAGAATGCTTCTGTCCAGTTTTTACATGAAGCTGTTTCCTTTACTACCGTAGGCCTCAAAGGGTTCCAAATCTCCACTTGCAGATACTACGAAAAGAGCGATTAAACCTGAACTCACAAGGGAAGGTTCAACTCTGTCAGTTGAATGCCAACATCACAAAGAAGTTCTGAGAATGTTTCTCTTCAGTTATGTGAGGTTTATCCCGTTTCCCACGAAATTCTCAGAGAAGTCCAAATATCCACTTGGATATTCTACAAAAAGTGTGTTTTCAAAATGCTCCATCAAAAGATATGCTCAGCTCTGTGTGTTAAACTCAATCATCACAAAGAATTTTCTGAGAATGCTTCTGTCTTGTTTTTAGATGAGGTTATATCCTTTACTACGATAGGCCTCAAAGAGGTCCAAATCTCCACTTGCAGATTCTGCAGAAGGAGTGTTTAAAACCTGAACTATCAGAGAAAGGATGAACACTGTGAGTTGAATGCAAGCATCACGAAGAAGGTTCTGAGAATGCTTCTGTTTATATAGGTGAGTTTTCTCCCGTATCCATCAAAAGATATGCTCAGCTCTGTGAGTTAAACTCAATCATCACAAAGAATTTTCTGAGAATGCTTCTGTCTTGTTTTTAGATGAAGTTCTTTCCTTTACTACGATAGGCCTCAAAGAGGTCCAAATCTCCACTTGCAGATTCTGCAGAAGGAGTGTTTCAAACCTGAACTATCAGAGAAAGGTTCAACACTGTGAGTTGAATGCAAGCATCACGAAGAAGGTTCTGAGAATGCTTCTGTTTACGTAGGTGAGTTTTCTCCCGTATCCAATGAAATCCTCAGAGCGGTCCAAATCTCCACTTGCAGATTCTACAAAAAGTGTGTTTTGAAACTGCTCCATCCAAAGGAATGTTCAGCTCTGTGAATTGAACTCATCGTCACAAAGTGTTTCCTGGGATGCTCTGTCTCCTTTTTATGTGCAGTTATATCTCTACTGCCATAGGCCTCAAAGCGGTCCAAATCTCCCCTTTCAGATTCTACCAAAAGTGTGTTTCCAAACGGCTCCATCAAAGGGAATGTTCAACTCGGTGACTTGAATGCAATCATCACAAACCAGTTTCTGAGAATGCTTCCATGTAGCTTTGATGAGAAGATATTTCCTTTTCCACCCCAGGCCTCGAAGCCCTCCAAATGTCCCCTTGCAGATGCTAGAAAGAGAGGGTTTCAAAGCTACTCTATCAAAAGGAAAGTACAACTCTGTGAGTTGAATGCAAACATCACAAACAAGTTCCTGAGCATGCTTCCGTTTAGCTTTTATGGGAAGATTATCCCTTTTCCATCGAAATGTTCAAAGAGGTCCACATATCCGCTTGCAGATTTCACCGAAAGAGTGTTTCCAAACTGCTGTATCAAAAGGAATCCTCAACTCCGTGAGTTGAATGCAATCATCACCAAGAAGTTTCTGACAATGCTTCTCTCTAGTTTTTATGTGAAGATATTTCCTTTTCCACCACAGGCCTGAAAGCCCTCCAAATGTCCACTTGGGGGCTCTACGAAAAGAATGTTTCAAAACTGCTCTATGAAAAGCAATGTTATACTCTGGGAGTGAACACAAGCCCCACAAAGGAGTTTCTGAGAATGCTTCTGTTTACTTTTTACGTGAGGATATTCCCGTTTCCAAAGAAGTCTTCACAGAGTTCCACCTATCCATTTGCAGATGCTAGCAAAAGACAGTTTCAAAACTGCTCTATCAAAAGGAATGTTCAACTCTGTGAGTTGCATGCAATCATCACAGAGAAGTTTCTGAGAAGGCTTCTGTCTAGATTTTATGTGAAGATACAGTCGTTTCGAACGAAGGCCACAAAGTGCTCAAAATATCCACTTGCAGGTCCTCCAAAAAGAGTGTTTCAAACGTGAACTACCAAAGGAAGGCTCAACTCTGGACTTTGAAGGCCAACGTCAGAAAGATGTTTCTGCGAAAGCTTCTGTTTAGTTAGGTGACGTTATCCCGTTTCCAACGAAATCCTCAGAGAGGTCCAAATATCCACCTGCAGAGTCTACAAAAAGTGTGTTTCAAAACTCCTCCACCCAAAGGAATGTTCAGCTCTGTGAGTTGAACTCAATCATCCCAAAGTATTTTCTGAGAATGCTTCTGTCCAGTTTTTACATGAAGCTGTTTCCTTTACTACCGTATGCCTCAAAGCGTTCCAAATCTCCACTTGGAGATAGTACGAAAAGAGCGTTTCAACCTGAACTAACAAGGGAAGGTTCAACTCTGTCAGTTGAATGCCAACATCACCAAGAAGTTCTGAGAATGTTCCTCTTCAGTTATGTGATGTTTATCCGGTTTCCAACGAAATTCTCAGAGAATTCCCAAAATCCACTTGCATATTCTACAAAAGGTGTGTTTTGAAAATGCGCCATCAAAAGATATGCTCCGCTCTGTGAGTTAAGCACAATCATCACAAAGAATTTTCTGAGAATGCTTCTGTCTTGTTTTTAGATGAAGTTCTTTCCTTTACTACGATAGGCCTCAAAGAGGTCCAAATCTCCACTTGCAGATTCTGCAGAAGGAGTGTTTCAAACCTGAACTATGAGAGAAAGGTTCAACACTGTGAGATGAATGCAAGCATCACAAAGAAGTTTCTGAGAATGCTTCTGTTTACATATGTGGCTTTTCTCCCGTATCCAACGAAATCCTCAGAGCGGTCCAAATCTCCACTTGCAGATTCTACACAAAGTGTGTTTGGAAACTGCTCCATCCAAAGGAATATTCAGCTCCGTGAGTTGAACTCAATCGTCACAAAGCGTTTCCTGAGAATGCTCCTGTCTCGTTTTTATGTGCAGTTATATCCTCTACTGCCATAGGCCACAAAGCAGTCCAAATCTCCCCTTTCAGATCCTACCAAAAGTGTGTTTCCAAACGGCTCCATCAAAGGGAATGTTCAACTCGCTGACTTGAATGCAATCATTCCAAAGCAGCTTCTGAGAATACTTCCATGTAGCTTTGATGAGAAGATATTTCCTTTTCCACCCCAGGCCTCGAAGCCCTCCAAATGTCCCCTTGCAGATGCTAGAAAGAGGGGGTTTCAAAGCTGCTCTATCAAAAGGAAAGTACAACGCTGTGAGTTGAATGCAAACATCACAAGGAAGTTCCTGAGCATGCTTCCGTTTAGCTTTTACGGGAAGATTATCCCTTTTCCATCGAAATGTTCAAAGAGGTCCACATATCCGCTTGCAGATTTCACCGAAAGAGTGTTTCCAAACTGCTGCATCAAAAGGAATCCTCAGCTCCGTGAGTTGAATGCAATCATCACCAAGAAGTTTCTGACAATGCTTCTCTCTAGTTTTTATGTGAAGATATTTCCTTTTCCACCACAGGCCTGAAAGCGCTCCAAATGTCCACTTGGAGGCTCTACGAAAAGAATGTTTCAAAACTGCTCTATGAAAAGCAATGTTATACTCTGGGAGTTGAACACAAGCCTCACAAAGGAGTTTCTGAGAATGCTTCTGTTTACTTTTTACGTGAGGATATTCCCGTCTCCAAAGAAGTCTTCACAGAGTTACACCTATCCATTTGCAGATGCCAGCAAAACTAGAGAGTTTCAAAACTGCTCTATCAAAAGGAATGTTCAACTCTGTGAGTTGCGTGCAATCATCACAGAGAAGTTTCTGAGAAGGCTTCTGTCTAGATTGTATGTGAAGATATAGCCGTTTCGAACGAAGGCCACAAAGTGCTCCAAATATCCACTTGCAGGTCCTCCAAAAAGAGTGTTTCAAACGTGAACTACCAAAGGAAGGCTCAACTCGGGACTTTGAAGACCAACGTCAGAAGGATGTTTCTGCGGAGGCTTCTGTTTAGTTAGGTGACGTTATCCCGTTTCCAACGAAATCCTCAGAGAGGTCCAAATATCCACCTGCAGAGTCTACAAAAAGTGTGTTTCAAAACTGCTCAACCCAAAGGAAGGTTCAGCTCTGTGAGTTGAACTCAATCATCCCAAAGTATTTTCTGAGAAGGCTTCTGTCCAGTTTTTACATGAAGCTGTTTCCTTTACTACCGTAGGCTTCAAAGCGTTCCAAACCTCCACTTGCAGATAGTACGAAAAGAGCGTTTCAACCTGAACTCACAAGGGAAGGTTCAACTCTGTCAGTTGAATGCCAACGTCACCAAGAACTTCTGAGAATGTTCCTCTTCAGTTATGTGAGGTTTATCCCGTTTCCAACGAAATTCTCAGAGAAGTCCCAAAATCCACTTGCATATTCTACAAAAGGTGTGTTTTCAAAATGCTCCATCAAAAGATATGCTCAGCTCTGTGTGTTAAACTCAATCATCACAACGAATTTTCTGAGAATGCTTCTGTCTTGTTTTTAGATGAGGTTATATCCTTTACTACGATAGGCCTCAAAGAGGTCCAAATCTCCACTTGCAGATTCTGCAGAAGGAGTGTTTAAAACCTGAACTATCAGAGAAAGGTTGAACACTGTGAGTTGAATGCAAGCATCACGAAGAAGGTTCTGAGAATGCTTCTGTTTATATAGGTGAGTTTTCTCCCGTATCCATCAAAAGATATGCTCAGCTCTGTGAGTTAAACTCAATCATCACAAAGAATTTTCTGAGAATGCTTCTGTCTTGTTTTTAGATGAAGTTCTTTCGTTTACTACGATAGGCCTCAAAGAGGTCCAAATCTCCACTTGCAGATTCTGCAGAAGGAGTGTTTCAAACCTGAACTATCAGAGAAAGGTTCAACACTGTGAGTTGAATGCAAGCATCACGAAGAAGGTTCTGAGAATGCTTCTGTTTACATAGGTGAGTTTTCTCCCGTATCCAACGAAATCCTCAGAGCGGTCCAAATCTCCACTTGCAGATTCTACACAAAGTGTGTTTGGAAACTGCTCCATCCAAAGGAATGTTCAGCTCTGTGAATTGAACTCAATCGTCACAAAGTGTTTCCTGGGAATGCTCCTGTCTCGTTTTTATGTGCAGTTATATCCTCTACTGCAATAGGCCCCAAAACGGTCCAAATCTCCCCTTTCAGTTTCTACCAAAAGTGTGTTTCCAAACGGCTCCATCAAAGGGAATGTTGACCTCGGTGACTTGAATGCAATCATCACAAAGCAGCTTCTGAGAATGCTTCCATGTAGCTTTGATGAGAAGATATTTCCTTTTCCACCCCAGGCCTCGAAGCCCTCCAAATGTCCCCTTGCAGATGCTAGAAAGAGAGGGTTTCAAAGCTGCTCTATCAAAAGGAAAGTACAACTCTGTGAGTTGAATGCAAACATCACAAACAAGTTCCTGAGCATGCTTCCGTTTAGCTTTTACGGGAAGATTATCCCTTTTCCATCGAAATGTTCAAAGAGGTCCACATATCCGCTTGCAGATTCCACCGAAAGAGTGTTTCCAAACTGCTGCATCAAAAGGAATCCTCAGCTCCGTGAGTTGAATGCAATCATCACCAAGAGGTTTCTGACAATGCTTCTCTCTAGTTTTTATGTGAAGATATTTCCTTTTCCAACACAGGCCTGAAAGCGTTCCAAATGTCCACCTGGACGCTCTACGAACAGAATGTTTCAAAACTGCTCTATGAAAAGCAATGTTATACTCTGGGAGTTGAACACAAGCCTCACAAAGGAGTTTCTGAGAATGCTTCTGTTTACTTTTTACGTGTGGATATTCCCGTTTCCAAAGAAGTCTTCACAGAGTTCCACCTATCCATTTGCAGATGCTAGCAAAAGACAGTTTCAAAACTGCTCTATCAAAAGGAATGTTCAACTCTGTGAGTTGCATGCAATCATCACAGAGAAGTTTCTGAGAAGGCTTCTGTCTAGATTTTATGTGAAGATATAGCCGTTTCGAACGAAGGCCACAAAGTGCTCCAAATATCCACTTGCAGGTCCTCCAAAAAGAGTGTTTCAAACGTGAACTACCAAAGGAAGGCTCAACTCTGGACTTTGAATGCCAACGTCAGAAAGATGTTTCTGCGAAAGCTTCTGTTTAGTTAGGTGACGTTATCCCGTTTCCAACGAAATCCTCAGAGAGGTCCAAATATCCACCTGCAGAGTCTACAAAAAGTGTGTTTCAAAACTGCTCCACCCAAAGGAATGTTCAGCTCTGTGAGTTGAAGTCAATCATCCCAAAGTATTTTCTGAGAATGCTTCTGTCCAGTTTTTACCTGAAGCTGTTTCCTTTACTACCGTAGGCCTCAAAGCGTTCCAAATCTCCACTTGCAGATAGTACGAAAAGAGCGTTTCAACCTGAACTCACAAGGGAAGGTTCAACTCTGTCAGTTGAATGCCAACATCACAAAGAAGTTCTGAGAATGTTCCTCTTCAGTTATGTGAGGTTTATCCCGTTNTCCACGAAATTCTCAGAGAAGTCCCAAAATCCACTTGCATATTCTACAAAAGGTGTGTTTTGAAAATGCGCCATCAAAAGATATGCTCAGCTCTGTGAGTTAAACTCAATCATCGCAAAGAATTTTCTGAGAATGCTTCTGTCTTGTTTTTAGATGAAGTTCTTTCCTTTACTACGATAGGCCTCAAAGAGGTCCAAATCTCCACTTGCAGATTCTGCAGGAGTGTTTCAAACCTAAACTGTCAGAGAAAGGTTCAACACTGTGAGTTGAATGCAAGCTTCACGAAGAAGGTTCTGAGAATGCTTCTGTTTACGTAGGTGACTTTTCTCCCAAATCCAACGAAATCCTCAGAGCGGTCCAAATCTCCACTTGCAGATTCTACACAAAGTGTGTTTGGAAACTGCTCCATCCAAAGGAATGTTCAGCTCTGTGAGTTGTACTCAATCGTCACAAAGTGTTTCCTGGGAATGCTCCTGTCTCGTTTTTATGTGCAGTTATATCCTCTACTGCCATAGGCCTCAATGCGGTCCAAATCTCCCCTTTCAGATCCTACCAAAAGTGTGTTTCCAAACGGCTCCATCAAAGGGAATGTTCAACTCGGTGACTTGAATGCAATCATCACAAAGCAGCTTCTGAGAATGCTTCCATGTAGCTTTGATGACAAGATATTTCCTTTTCCACCCCAGGCCTCAAAGCCCTCCAAATGTCCCCTTGCAGATGCTAGAAAGAGAGGGTTTCAAAGCTGCTCTATCAAAAGGAAAGTACAACTCTGTGAGTTGAATGCAAACATCACAAGGAAGTTCCTGAGCATGCTTTCGTTTAGCTTTTATGGGAAGATTATCCCTTTTCCATCGAAATGTTCAAAGAGGTCCACATATCCGCTTGCAGATTCCACCGAAAGAGTGTTTCCAAACTGCTGCATCAAAAGGAATCCTCAGCTCCGTGAGTTGAATGCAATCATCACCAAGAGGTTTCTGACAATGCTTCTCTCTAGTTTTTATGTGAAGATATTTCCTTTTCCAACACAGGCCTGAAAGCGCTCCAAATGTCCACTTGGAGGCTCTACGAAAAGAATGTTTCAAAACTGCTCTATGAAAAGCAATGTTATACTCTGGGAGTTGAACACAAGCCTCACAAAGGAGTTTCTGAGAATGCTTCTGTTTACTTTTTACGTGAGGATATTCCCGTTTCCAAAGAAATCTTCACAGAGTTCCACCTATCCATTTGCAGATGCCAGCAAAACTAGAGAGTTTCAAAACTGCTCTATCAAAAGGAATGTTCAACTCTGTGAGTTGCGTGCAATCATCACAGAGGAGTTTGTGAGAAGGCTTCTGTCTAGATTTTATGTGAAGATATAGTCGTTTCGAACGAAGGCCACAAAGTGCTCCAAATATCCACTTGCAGGTCCTCCAAAAAGAGTGTTTCAAACGTGAACTACCAAAGGAAGGCTCAACTCGGGACTTTGAAAGCCAACGTCAGAAGGATGTTTCTGCGAAAGCTTCTGTTTAGTTATGTGACGTTATACCGTTTCCAACGAAATCCTCAGAGAGGTCCAAATATCCACCTGCAGAGTCTACAAAAAGTGTGTTTCAAAACTGCTCCACCCAAAGGAATGTTCAGCTCTGTGAGTTGAACTCAATCATCCCAAAGTATTTTCTGAGAAGGCTTCTGTCCAGTTTTTACATGAAGCTGTTTCCTTTACTACCGTAGGCCTCAAAGCGTTCCAAACCTCCACTTGCAGATACTACGAAAAGAGCGTTTCAACCTGAACTCACAAGGGAAGGTTCAACTCTGTCAGTTGAATGCCAACATCACCAAGAAGTTCTGAGAATGTTCCTCTTCAGTTATGTGAGGTTTATCCCGATTCCAACGAAATTCTCAGAGAAGTCCCAAAATCCACTTGCATATTCTACAAAAGGTGTTTTTGGAAAATGCGCCATCAAAAGATATGCTCAGGTCTGTGTGTTAAACTCAATCATCACAAATAATTTTCTGAGAATGCTTCTGTCTTGTTTTTAGATGAAGTTCTTTCGTTTACTACGATAGGCAACAAAGAGGTCCAAATCTCCACTTGCAGATTCTGCAGAAGGAGTGTTTCAAACCAGAACTGTCAGAGAAAGATTCAACACTGTGAGTTGAATGCAAGCATCACGAAGAAGGTTCTGAGAATGCTTCTGTTTACGTAGGTGAGTTTTCTCCCGTATCCAACGAAATCCTCAGAGCGGTCCAAATCTCCACTTGCAGATTCTACACAAAGTGTGTTTGGAAACTGCTCCATCCAAAGGAATGTTCAGCTCTGTGAGTTGAAGTCAATCATCCCAAAGTATTTTCTGAGAATGCTTCTGTCCAGTTTTTACATGAAGCTGTTTCCTTTACTACCGTAGGCCTCAAAGCGTTCCAAACCTCCACTTGCAGATACTACGAAAAGAGCGTTTCAACCTGAACTCACAAGGGAAGGTTCAACTCTGTCAGTTGAATGCCAACATCACCAAGAAGTTCTGAGAATGTTCCTCTTCAGTTATGTGAGGTTTATCCCGATTCCAACGAAATTCTCAGAGAAGTCCCAAAATCCACTTGCATATTCTACAAAAGGTGTGTCTTGAAAATGCGCCATCAAAAGATATGCTCAGCTCTGTGAGTTAAACTCAATCATCGCAAAGAATTTTCTGAGAATGCTTCTGTCTTGTTTTTAGATGAAGTTCTTTCCTTTACTACGATAGGCCTCAAAGAGGTCCAAATCTCCACTTGCAGATTCTGCAGAAGGAGTGTTTCAAACCTGAACTGTCAGAGAAAGGTTCAACACTGTGAGTTGAATGCAAGCATCACGAAGAAGGTTCTGAGAATGCTTCTGTTTACGTAGGTGAGTTTTCTGCCATATCCAACGAAATCCTCAGAGCGGTCCAAATCTCCACTTGCAGATTCTACACAAAGTGTGTTTGGAAACTGCTCCATCCAAAGGAATGTTCAGCTCTGTGAGTTGAACTCAAGCGTCACAAAGTGTTTCCTGGGAATGCTCCTGTGTCGCTTTTATGTGCAGTTATATCCTCTACTGCCATAGGCCTCAAAGCGGTCCAAATCTCCCCTTTCAGATCCTACCAAAAGTGTGTTTCCAAACGGCTCCATCAAAGGGAATGTTCAACTCGGTGACTTGAATGCATCATCCCAAAGCAGCTTCTGAGAATGCTTCCATGTAGCTTTGATGAGAAGATATTTCCTTTTCCACCCCAGGCCTCGAAGCCCTCCAAATGTCCCCTTGCAGATGCTAGAAAGAGGGGGTTTCAAAGCTGCTCTATCAAAAGGAAAGTAGAACGCTGTGAGTTGAATGCAAACATCACAAGGAAGTTCCTGAGCATGCTTCCGTTTAGCTTTTACGGGAAGATTATCCCTTTTCCATAGAAATGTTCAAAGAGGTCCACATATCCGCTTGCAGATTCCACCGAAAGAGTGTTTCCAAACTGCTGCATCAAAAGGAATCCTCAGCTCCGTGAGTTGAATGCAATCATCACCAAGAAGTTTCTGACAATGCTTCTCTCTAGTTTTTATGTGAAGATATTTCCTTTTCCACCGAAGGCCTGAAAGCGCTCCAAATGTCCACTTGGAGGCTCTACGAAAAGAATGTTTCAAAACTGCTCTATGAAGAGCAATGTTATACTCTGGGAGTTGAACACAAGTCTCACAAAGGAGTTTCTGAGAATGCTTCTGTTTAGTTTTTACGTGAGGATATTCCCGTCTCCAAAGAATTCTTCACAGAGTTCCACCTATCCATTTGCAGATGCCAGCAAAACTAGAGAGTTTCAAAACTGCTCTATCAAAAGGAATGTTCAACTCTGTGAGTTGCGTGCAATCATCACAGAGAAGTTTCTGAGAAGGCTTCTGTCTAGATTTTATGTGAAGATATAGCCGTTTCGAACGAAGGCCACAAAGTGCTCCAAATATCCACTTGCAGGTCCTCCAAAAAGAGTGTTTCAAACGTGAACTACCAAAGGAAGGCTCAACTCGGGACTTTGAAGGCCAACGTCAGAAGGATGTTTCTGCGGAAGCTTCTGTTTAGTTAGGTGACGTTATCCCGTTTCCAACGAAATCCTCAGAGAGGTCCAAATATCCACTTGCAGAGTCTACAAAAAGTGTGTTTCAAAACTGCTCCACCCAAAGGAAGGTTCAGCTCTGTGAGTTGAACTCAATCATCCCAAAGTATTTTCTGAGAAGGCTTCTGTCCAGTTTTTACATGAAGCTGTTTCCTTTACTACCGTAGGCCTCAAAGCGTTGCAAACCTCCACTTGCAGATACTACGAAAAGAGCGTTTCAACCTGAACTCAGAAGGGAAGGTTCAACTCTGTCAGTTGAATGCCAACGTCACCAAGAACTTCTGAGAATGTTCCTCTTCAGTTATGTGAGGTTTATCCCGTTTCCAACGAAATTCTCAGAGAAGTCCCAAAATCCACTTGCATATTCTACAAAAGGTGTGTCTTGAAAATGCGCCATCAAAAGATATGCTCAGCTCTGTGAGTTAAACTCAATCATCGCAAAGAATTTTCTGAGAATGCTTCTGTCTTGTTTTTAGATGAAGTTCTTTCCTTTACTACGATAGGCCTCAAAGAGGTCCAAATCTCCACTTGCAGATTCTGCAGAAGGAGTGTTTCAAACCTGAACTGTCAGAGAAAGGTTCAACACTGTGAGTTGAATGCAAGCATCACGAAGAAGGTTCTGAGAATGCTTCTGTTTACGTAGGTGAGTTTTCTCCCTTATCCAACGAAATCCTCAGAGCGGTCCAAATCTCCACTTGCAGATTCTACACAAAGTGTGTTTGGAAACTGCTTCATCCAAAGGAATGTTCAGCTCTGTGAGTTGAACTCAATCGTCACAAAGTGTTTCCTGGGAATGCTCCTGTTTCGCTTTTATGTGCAGTTATATCCTCCACTGATATAGGCCCCAAAGCGGTCCAAATCTCCCCTTTCAGATTCTACCAGAAGTGTGTTTCCAAACGGCTCCATCAAAAGGAATGTTCAACTCGGTGGCTTGAATGCAATCATCACAAAGCAGCTTCTGAGAATGCTTCCATGTAGCTTTGATGAGAAGATATTTCCTTTTCCACCCCAGGCCTCGAAGCCCTCCAAATGTCCCCTTGCAGATGCTATAAAGAGGGGGTTTCAAAGCTGCTCTATCAGAAGGAAAGTACAACTCTGTGAGTTGAATGCAAACATCACAAGGAAGTTCCTGAGCATGCTTCCGTTTAGCTTTTACGGGAAGATTATCCCTTTTCCATCGAAATGGTCAAAGAGGTCCACATATCCGCTTGCAGATTCCACCGAAAGAGTGTTTGCAAACTGCTGCATTAAAGGGAATCCTCAGCTCCGTGAGTTGAATGCAATCATCACCAAGAAGATTCTGACAATGCTTCTCTCTAGTTTTTATGTGAAGATATTTCCTTTTCCACCGCAGGCCTGAAAGCGCTCCAAATGTCCACTTGGAGGCTCTACTAAAAGAATGTTTCAAAACTGCTCTATGAAAAGCAATGTTATACTCTGGGAGTTGAACACAAGCCTCACAAAGGAGTTTCTGAGAATGCTTGTGTTTACTTTTTACGTGAGGATATTCCCGTTTCCAAAGAAGTCTTCACAGAGTTCCACCTATCCATTTGCAGATGCTAGCAAAAGAGAGTTTCAAAACTGCTCCATCAAAAGGAATGTTCAACTCTGTGAGTTGCATGCAATCATCACAGAGAAGTTTCTGAGAAGGCTTCTGTCTAGATTTTATGTGAAGATATAGCCATTTCGAACGAAGGCCCCAAAGTGCTCCAAATATCCACTTGCAGGTCCTCCAAAAAGAGTGTTTCAAACGTGAACTACCAAAGGAAGGCTCAACTCGGACTTTGAAGGCCAACGACAGAAGGATGTTTCTGCGAAAGCTTCTGTTTAGTTAGGTGACGTTATCCCGTTTCCAACGAAGTCCTCAGAGAGGTCCAAATATCTACCTGCAGAGTCTACAAAAAGTGTGTTTCAAATCTGCTCCACCCAAAGGAATGTTCAGCTCTGTGAGTTGAACTCAATCATCCCAAAGTATGTTCTGAGAATGCTTCTGTCCAGTTTTTACATGAAGCTGTTTCCTTTACTAACGTAGGCCTCAAAGCGTTCCAAACCTCCACTTGCAGATAGTGCGAAAAGAGCGTTTCAACCTGAACTCACAAGGGAAGTTTCAACTCTGTCAGTTGAATGCCAACATCACCAAGAAGTTCTGAGAATGTTCCTCTTCATTTATGTGAGGTTTATCCCGTTTCCAACGAAATTCTCAGAAAAGTCCCAAAATCCACTTGCATATTCCACAAAAGGTGTGTTTGGAAAATGCGCCATCAAAAGATATGCTCAGCTCTGTGAGCTAAACTCAATCATTGCAAAGAATTTTCTGAGAATGCTTCTGTCTTGTTTTTAGATGAAGTTCTTTCCTTTACTACGATAGGCCTCAAAGAGGTCCAAATCTCCACTTGCAGATTCTGCAGAAGGAGTGTTTCAAACCTGAACTGTCAGGGAAAGGTTCAACACTGTGAGTTGAATGGAAGCATCACGAAGAAGGTTCTGAGAATGCTTCTGTTTACGTAGGTGACTTTTCTCCCGTATCCAGCGAAATCCTCAGAACGGTCCAAATCTCCACTTGCAGATTCTACACAAATTGTGTTTGGAAACTGCTCCACCCAAAGGAATGTTCGGCTCCGTGAGTTGAACTCAATCGTCACAAAGCGTTTCCTGGGAATGCTCCTGTCTCGCTTTTATGTGCAGTTATATCCTCTACTGCCATAGGCCACAAAGCGGTCCAAATCTCCCCTTTCAGATACTACCAGAAGTGTGTTTCCAAACGGCCCCATCAAAGGGGATGTTCAACTCGGTGACTTGAATGCAATCATCACAAAGCAGCTTCTGAGAATGCTTCCATGTAGCTTTGATGAGAAGATATTTCCTTTTCCACCCCAGGCCTCGAAGCCCTCCAAATGTCCCCTTGCAGATGCTAGAAAGAGGGGGTTTCAAAGCTGCTCTATCAGAAGGAAAGTACAACTCTGTGAGTTGAATGCAACATCACAAGGAAGTTCCTGAGCATGCTTCCGTTTAGCTTTTAGGGAAGATTATCCCTTTTCCATCGAAATGTTCCAAGAGGTCCACATATCCGCTTGCAGATTCCACGAAAGAGTGTTTCCAAACTGCTGCATCAAAGGAATCCCTCAGCTCGTGAGTTGATGCATCATCACCAGAAGTTCTGACATGCTCTCTCTAGTTTTATGTGAGAATTTCCTTT
>NC_000001.11:121845941-121851570 GCF_000001405.40 Homo sapiens
TGCTGCATCAAAGAATCTTAGTCCGTGAGTGATGCATATCCCCAGAAGTTTCTGACATGCTCTCTCTAGTTNTAGGGAAGATATTCCTTTTCCACCGCAGGCTGAAGTGACCCAAATGTCCACTTGGAGGCACTACGAAAAAAATGTTTCAAAACTGCTCTATGAAAAGCAATGTTATACTCTGGGAGTGAACACAAACCTCACAAAAGAGTTTCTGAGAATGCTTCTGTTTACTTTTTACGTGAGGATATTCCCGTTTCCAAAGAAGTTTTCACAGAATTCCACCTATCCATTTGCAGATGCCAGCAAAACTAGAGAGTTTCAAAACTGCTCTATCAAAAGGAATGTTCAACTCTGTGAGTTGCGTGCAATCATCACAGAGAAGTTTCTGAGAAGTCTTCTGTCTAGATTTTATGTGAAGATATAGCCGTTTCGAACGAAGGCCACAAAGTGCTCCAAATATCCACTTGCAGGTCCTCCAAAAAGAGTGTTTCAAACGTGAACTACCAAAGGAAGGCTCAACTCGGGACTTTGAAGGCCAACGTCAGAAGGATGTTTCTGCGGAAGCTTCTGTTTAGTTAGGTGACGTTATCCCGTTTTCAACGAAATCCTCAGAGAGGTCCAAATATCCACATGCAGAGTCTACAAAAAGTGTGTTTCAAAACTGCTCCACCCAAAGGAAGGTTCAGCTCTGTGAGTTGAACTCAATCATCCCAAAGTATTTTCTGAGAAGGCTTCTGTCCAGTTTTTACATGAAGCTGTTTCCTTTACTACCGTAGGCCTCAAAGCGTTCCAAACCTCCACTTGCAGATACTACGAAAAGAGCGTTTCAACCTGAACTCACAAGGGAAGGTTCAACTCTGTCAGTTGAATGCCAACGTCACCAAGAACTTCTGAGAATGTTCCTCTTCAGTTATGTGAGGTTTATCCCGTTTCCAACGAAATTCTCAGAGAAGTCCCAAAATCCACTTGCATATTCTACAAAAGGTGTGTCTTGAAAATGCGCCATCAAAAGATATGCTCAGCTCTGTGAGTTAAACTCAATCATCGCAAAGAATTTTCTGAGAATGCTTCTGTCTTGTTTTCAGATGAAGTTCTTTCCTTTACTACGATAGGCCTCAAAGAGGTCCAAATCTCCACTTGCAGATTCTGCAGAAGGAGTGTTTCAAACCTGAACTGTCAGAGAAAGGTTCAACACTGTGAATTGAATTCAAGCATCACGAAGAAGGTTCTGAGAATGCCTCTGTTTACGTAGGTGAGTTTTCTCCCGTATCCAGCGAAATCCTCAGAGCGGTCCAAATCTCCACTTGCAGATTCTACACAAAGTGTGTTTGGAAACTGCTCCAACCAAAGGAATATTCAGCTCTGTGAGTTGAACTCAATCGTCACAAAGTGTTTCCTGGGAATGCTCCTGTCTCGCTTTTATGTGCAGTTATATCCTCTGCTGCCATAGGCCTCAAAGCGTTCCAAATATCCCCTTTCAGATTCTACCAGAAGTGTGTTTCCAAACGGCTCCATCAAAGGGAATGTGCAACTCGGTGACTTGAAAGCAATCATCACAAAGCAGCTTCTGAGAATGCTTCCATGTAGCTTTGATGAGAAGATATTTCCTTTTCCACCCCAGGCCTCGAAGCCCTCCAAATGTCCCCTTGCAGATGCTAGAAAGAGGGGGTTTCAAAGCTGCTCTATCAGAAGGAAAGTACAACTCTGTGAGTTGAATGCAAACATCACAAGGAAGTTCCTGAGCATGCTTCCGTTTAGCTTTTACGGGAAGATTATCCCTTTTCCATCGAAATGTTCAAAGAGGTCCACATATCCGCTTGCAGATTCCACCGAAAGAGTGTTTCCAAACTGCTGCATCAAAAGGAATCCTCAGCTCCGTGAGTTGAATGCAATCATCACCAAGAATTTTGTGACAATGCTTCTCTCTAGTTTTTATGTGAAGATATTTCCTTTTCCACCGCAGGCCTGAAAGCGCTCCAAATGTCCACTTGGAGGCTCTACGAAAAGAAAGTTTCAAAACTGCTCTATGAAGAGCCAAGTTATACTCTGGGAGTTGAACACAAGCCTCACAAAGGAGTTTCTGAGAATGCTTCTGTTTACTTTTTACGTGGGGATATTCCCGTTTCCAAAGAAGTCTTCACAGAGTTCCACCTATCCATTTGCAGATGCCAGCAAAACTAGAGAGTTTCAAAACTGCTCTATCAAAAGGAATGTTCACCTCTGTGAGTTGCGTGCAATCATCACAGAGAAGTTTCTGAGAAGGCTTCTGTCTAGATTTTATGTGAAGATATAGCCGTTTCGAATGAAGGCCACAAAGTGCTCCAAATATCCACTTGCAGGTCCTCCAAAAAGAGTGTTTCAAACGTGAACTACCAAAGGAAGGCTCAACTCGGGACTTTGAAGGCCAACGTCAGAAGGATGTTTTTGCGGAAGCTTCTGTTTAGTTAGGTGACGTTATCCCGTTTCCAACGAAATCCTCAGAGAGGTCCAAATATCCACCTGCAGAGTCTACAAAAAGTGTGTTTCAAAACTGCTCCACCCAAAGGAATGTTCAGCTCTGTGAGTTGAACTCAATCATCCCAAAGTATTTTCTGAGAAGGCTTCTGTCCAGTTTTTACATGAAGCTGTTTCCTTTACTACCGTAGGCCTCAAAGCGTTCCAAACCTCCACTTGCAGATACTACGAAAAGAGCGTTTCAACCTGAACTCACAAGGGAAGGTTCAACTCTGTCAGTTGAATGCCAACGTCACCAAGAACTTCTGAGAATGTTCCTCTTCAGTTATGTGAGGTTTATCCCGTTTCCAACGAAATTCTCAGAGAAGTCCCAAAATCCACTTGCATATTCTACAAAAGGTGTGTCTTGAAAATGCGCCATCAAAAGATATGCTAAGCTCTGTGAGTTAAACTCAATCATCGCAAAGAATTTTCTGAGAATGCTTCTGTCTTGTTTTTAGATGAAGTTCTTTCCTTTACTACGATAGGCCTCAAAGAGGTCCAAATCTCCACTTGCAGATTCTGCAGAAGGAGTGTTTCAAACCTGAACTGTCAGAGAAAGGTTCAACACTGTGAGTTGAATGCAAGCATCACGAAGAAGGTTCTGAGAATGCTTCTGTTTACGTAGGTGAGTTTTGTCCCGTATCCAACGAAATCCTCAGAGCGGTCCTAATCTCCACTTGCAGATTCTACACAAAGTGTGTTTGGAAACTGCTCCATCGAAAGGAATGTTCAGCTCTGTGAGTTGAACTCAATCGTCACAAAGTGTTTCCTGGGAATGCTCCTGTCTCGCTTTTATGTGCAGTAATATCCTCTACTGCCATAGGCCTCAAAGCGGTCCAAATCTCCCCTTTCAGATTCTACCAAAAGTGTGTTTCCAAACGGCCCCATCAAAGGGGATATTCAATTCGGTGACTTGAATGCAATCATCCCGAAGCAGCTTCTGAGAATGCTTCCATGTAGCTTTGATGAGAAGATATTTCCTTTTCCACGCCAGGCCTCGAAGCCCTCCAAATGTCCCCTTGCAGATGCTAGAAAGAGGGGGTTTCAAAGCTGCTCTATCAGAAGGAAAGTACAACTCTGTGAGTTGAATGCAAACATCACAAGGAAGTTCCTGAGCATGCTTCCGTTTAGCTTTTATGGGAAGATTATCCCTTTTCCATCGAAATGGTCAAAGAGGTCCACATATCCGCTTGCAGATTCCACCGAAAGAGTGTTTCCAAACTGCTGCATCAAAAGGAATCCTCAGCTCCGTGAGTTGAATGCAATCATCACCAAGAAGTTTCTGACAATGCTTCTCTCTAGCTTTTATGTGAAGATATTTCCTTTTCCACCGCAGGCCTGAAAGCGCTCCAAATGTCCACTTGGAGGCTCTACGAAAAGAATGTTTCAAAACTGCTCTATGAAAAGCAATGTTATACTCTGGGAGTTGAACACAAGCCTCACAAAGGAGTTTCTGAGAATGCTTCTGTTTACTTTTTACGTGAGGATATTCCCGTTTCCAAAGAAGTCTTCACAGAGTTCCACCTATCCATTTGCAGATGCCAGGAAAACTAGAGAGTTTCAAAACTGCTCTATCAAAAGGAATGTTCAACTCTGTGAGTTGCGGGCAATCATCACAGAGAAGATTCTGAGAAGGCTTCTGTCTAGATTTTATGTGAAGATATAGCCGTTTCGAACGAAGGCCACAAAGTGCTCCAAATATCCACTTGCAGGTCCTCCAAAAAGAGTGTTTCAAACGTGAACTACCAAAGGAAGGCTCAACTCGGGACTTTGAAGGCCAACGTCAGAAGGATGTTTCTGCGGAAGCTTCTGTTTAGTTAGGTGACGTTATCCCGTCTGCAACGAAATCCTCAGAGACGTCCAAATATCCACCTGCAGAGTCTACAAAAGTGTGTTTCAAAACTCCTCCACCCAAAGGAATGTTCAGCTCTGTGAGTTGAACTCAATCATCCCAAAGTATTTTCTGAGAATGCTTCTGTCCAGTTTTTACATGAAGCTGTTTCCTTTACTACCGTAGGCCTCAAAGCGTTCCAAACCTCCACTTGCAGATACTACGAAAAGAGCGTTTCAACCTGAACTCACAAGGGAAGGTTCAACTCTGCCAGTTGAATGCCAACATCACCAAGAACTTCTGAGAATGTTCCTCTTCAGTTACGTGAGGTTTATCCCGTTTCCAACGAAATTCTCAGAGAAGTCCCAAAATCCACTTGCATATTCCACAAAAGGTGTGTTTTGAAAATGCGCCATCAAAAGATATGCTCAGCTCTGTGAGTTAAACTCAATCATCGCAAAGTATTTTCTGAGAATGCTTCCGTCTTGTTTTTAGATGAAGTTCTTTCCTTTACTACGATAGGCCTCAAGGAGGTCCAAATCTCCACTTGCAGATTCTGCAGAAGGAGTGTTTCAAACCTGAACTGTCAGAGAAAGTTTCAACACTGTGAGTTGAATGCAAGCATCACGAAGAAGGTTCTGAGAATGCTTCTGTTTACGTAGGTGACTTTTCTCCCGTATCCAACGAAACCCTCAGAGCGGTCCAAATCTCCACTTGCAGATTCTACACAAAGTGTGTTTGGAAACTACTCCACCCAAGGGAATGTTCAGCTCTGTGAGTTGAACTCAATGGTCACAAAGCGTTTCCTGGGAATGCTCCTGTCTCGCTTTCATGTGCAGTTATATCCTCTACTGCCATAGGCCTCAAAGCGGTCCAAATCTCCCCTTTCAGATTCTACCAAAAGTGTGTTTCCAAACGGCCCCATCAAAGGGGATGTTCAACTCGGTGACTTGAATGCAATCATCACAAAGCAGCTTCTGAGAATGCTTCCATGTAGCTTTGATGAGAAGATATTTCCTTTTCCACCCCAGGCCTCGAAGCCCTCCAAATGTCCCCTTGCAGATGCTAGAAAGAGGGGGTTTCAAAGCTGCTCTATCAAAAGGAAAGTACAACTCTGTGAGTTGAATGCAAACATCACAAGGAAATTCCTGAGCATGCTTCCGTTTAGCTTTTACGGGAAGATTATCCCTTTTCCATCGAAATGTTCAAAGAGGTCCACATATCCGCTTGCAGATTCCACCGAAAGAGTGTTTCCAAACTGCTGCATCCAAAGGAATCCTCAGCTCCGTGAGTTGAATG
>NC_000001.11:121851670-121856465 GCF_000001405.40 Homo sapiens
GAATTCCCTGACCCCTTGCACTTCCCAGGTGTGTCGATGTCTTGCCCTGCTTTGGCTCACTCTTGGTCTTGGTGCACTGCTCCCTCTGTCCTCTGCCCACTTTCTGACACTCCCCAGTGAGATGAACCCAGTACCTCAGTTGGAAATGCAGAAATAACCCGTCTTCTGCATTGTTCATGCTGGGAGCTGTAGACTGGAGCTGTTCCTATTCAGCCATCTTGGCCCCACCCCTCCGAGTTCACTAATTCTTTCTTCTGCTTGATTAAATATGCTCCTGAACACTTACATTGAATATCTTAGTTCAGTTATATTCTTCAGTTCCAGAATTTTTGTTTGGTTCTTTAAAAAAAAATTTCTATTTGTTTACATTCTTAGTTTACTTACGCAACATTTTTCAGAATTTGTTTAATTGTCTGTGTTCTCTTGCAACTCCTGAGCCTCTTGAAGATGACTATCTTGAATTCTTTGTCAAATAGTTTTTATATCTCCCTTTCTTTAGGATCCATTACTAGAGATTTGTTTTCTTTATTTGATTGTATCATGCTTTCCTGATCTTTTCCTATTTTTTGTAGCTTTGTATTGATGTCTGGAGATTTGAAGAAACAACTAACTCTTCTAGCAATTCTCCATAAAGTGGCTTTGACAGAAAAAAATTTCCTGATCAGCCTGGCTAGGGATTCCAGGCCTGTGTTCCTAGTTGCCCGGGTATCTAGTCTTTTTGTTTTTAAAGCTCATGGTTTCTTGCTCCTGCTGGTGTTAGACTGTGTCAGTTCCTTTAGTGCTCCGTGTAAGGCAAGACAGGCACTGACTCCTTGAGAAGTGTGCTGAAAGGCCAGGGACATTGGAGTCACATTCCACTCATCTTCTTTCCTGAGGGAGAAGTCTCAGTTCTGTACTGTTTCCAATCTTGCAGCTCTGTGCTACCTGTAGGGGGGGTGCCCGCCCCTTTGTCTTTGTTCCAAGCTATCCCAGTAATCTGAGCTATGCTGCTTCCTTCAGCACTTTGTTTGTGGTAACACAGAAACTTGCCTCTTGTGGAGCATATTGAAAAGCTGGGAAGCTAGGCTTATGGTTCACCCTCTCTTTACTCCCTTTGTAGAAGTCACGGGCCAGGCAATCTCTCTCTGTGCTGAGCTGTGCCAGTTTCAGGGAAAGGCTGATGTGGATAAAGTGAAATTACTCATATCCATTTCAGTGTGGCTGTTCTTGGTTTTGTGCTCATGTGTTGTGCTGCACCTCTTTACCTACATTGTAGACTTCTCATAATGGTATTTTCATGTATATATTATTGTTTGCTGTTTCTCTGGGGGAACTAAATGCTGGGACTTCCTATTCTTCCATTTTGTGGGCATCACTCTTTCAAAGTTTATTTTTTAATGTTATGAAAGCACACGGAGGTGATAGAAACTGTAAATCTACTTATACAGAGGAAACCACAGTTAAGAAAATTAAACCTCAGCAATGAAACATCAATTTCTGTTCTTACAGTTATTAAGTAGTGCCTTACTATTTTCTGTTATTCTGAGCTTAATAATTCCTGGTGAAGTACAATTTGAGCTCAGATCCCAAAACTTGTTCATTCAAATCGGTTGTAGAAAGAAACAATGATGTTCCCTTATATAACGGGAACAGGCATTATTTCATTTTTGGCTATTAATCTCACTCTAAAACATATGAAATTAATCTGTCATTCTTACTTTTCTGTTTTAATCATATCAATTTGCCAAAGTGCTAAATGTTTATGTCTGTGTATCCCTGTGCACACAGAGTAAATGGGCTTCAATTAATATAATGGAATGTTTCAGAAAAGCAATCAGTATCCATAAGATTGAGCTTAAGCTGGAAGCTTCTCAGTCCAAATGACTGCCGTTAAAAGAATACAGGAGCTGAATGTCCTTGCATTTGGCGGACTTAAGAAAGAAGGATGCCAAACGAATGAACTATGACATGATTGAATTTTTGCAAATTCCTGAGAACTGTGGCAAAATGTTTTCCTTTCATAACCTTTGAACTGCTAAGATCATAAATAAGAACTTAGATGTTTTTTTACCAATTTTCCTTTTACACTACACACAATAGAATGTGGTTGCATTTGGTATGTTATATATGCCAGAACTGTTGCTAACCAGTATCTAGTGAGGGATCGGGCATCAGCCACCATGTTCATTTGCTTTAGCCTTAGAAATACCAAGAACTGGCCTGGTGTGGTGGCTCACGCTTTTAATCCCAGCATTTTGGGAGGCCGAGGTGGGTGGATCACCTGAGGTCAGGAGTTCAAGACCAACCTAGGCAACATAGTGAAACCCTGTCTCTACTAATAATACAAAAATCAGCTGGGCACGGTAGCATGTGCCTGTAGTCCCAGCTACTTGGGAGGCTGAGCCAGGAGAATCGCTTGAGCCCAGGAGGCAGAGAGAGACTCCGTCTCAAAAAAAAAAAAAAAAAACCAAGAACTTACACTTGAGGAAGGAAGTTAAGTATTTAGAGAGAACATAATTTAGAGCTAGTGTGTTTTCTTAGAATTAGGTCATAGTTGGATTGAGAGAAAAATACCTTTTTATTCTCATGTTTCTTCCACAGGCTTTTCTCTACTCCAAATTCTTGTTTTGTAATTTTGAAAGACAGGGTAGGAATTGTAAAAATGTGAAGAAGAAAATTATTGAATTTTAATGATGTAGAGCTTTATTTTCATGTCATTTAACCTCTTATTCTATAACAATGCACAAGTGTTTTTGCAATAAAGGTATTCTAAAATATTCCTTGCTGACTTTATTGTTTTCAGTTTTTGTTTGTACAAGGCCCTTGACACAACTTAAGATTCAATTAACATTATTAAGACACATATTTTGTATATGTTATTTCATTCAAATCATGGGAATGATGGTAAATGCTATTTAAAAGATTTGTTTCTGCCTTCCACAAATATTTATGGAGGGCTCCCTTTGCTTAGCAATGTGCTGGTTACTGGGAATACATGGATAAATGAGGCAGTTCCTGTCTTTAAAGAATGTACTGGCTAGTCTTGGGTTAAAAGCAACAATTTTCAGTATAATGTGAAAAATGCTATTTTTTTTTGAAATGAATGATCTCTGGTATATAAATAGAAAAGAATATATAAAGGAGATCTTACTTAGGTAGCCTTCTTTAAAATGGAATGAGTTCCTACACGCTTTAGTGCAGAAATGAACACTTTATCAAATTCTCAAGCGTAACAATTTCTAAATTTTTTTCATAGTTCTGGCTCTTGTGTCAGGTCCTTCTGATTTGCCCCTCCAATTTTGTTATTATTATATGGTACTGTTGTCTCAGCTATGTCACCTGGGTTAATTACCACTATTTTGGGCACATCCATACCAAGAGACCAGCTCTCTGAATTTTTGGAAAGGGACTCTACTTTCTCTCTGACTGCTTTACCCTAATATGTAGAATAGTCCCTTTTCCTTACTTCTTCATGACATAGAGAACATTTGTGAAGATTTTACCAAAGGCTTGACCACACTAGAAGAAAATACAGCATAGAAAATAATTCACAATTATTACACAGTTGCAGCCCTTTACCGCAGAGTTTTTATCAGCCCTACTTCTTCCTGTTTACACCCAGGTTGCCTCCACCAATGTGAGAACTACCTGTGTCTCACTGAATCTAGGCCAAATGTCCAAAACATTTAGAGAAAATGAAAGATGTTCACACTTCTCAGCTGTGGTGCGCCTCTTGAGGCTCTTGAGGAATTTTCTTCCCCAGGATTGACAATTTGTCCAGTATAATTGACTGTGGGAATATTCATGAAGGAAAGTTCTACTCCCATCCATAACACACTTGTATCCAAACAATCCCACAGTAGTGTGAAATCAGTATATTTCCAGAATTTTGAATTATATAATGTTAGATAGTATCATGTTGAGTCAAAAATTGTCCAGGTCAGGTTGTGGTGTAACAGTCACTGAATTTATTTTCTACTCTTTTCCCATTAAAAAAACTGAACTTAAGGTCTAATATCAGCAAAATTCTTCCTGTTTTCTGTATGTAAAACTCACAGAACAACATAAGAATTCACCAAGTAACACTCTGAAGATTCTTCAGGGGTCCTTTAACAAACTGACCATCCAAATGACGATCAGTGTCTTATCAGTTTACCAGCCTAACTGTATCCTGGATGTCCTGGGTATAGTACATAGAATATATAATTTATGATATTCTAAGAATAGTATAAGAACATTTTGTGGGTAAGTTAATGTATAATCAATTATTGATGCATTTATACAGCCAATAAATATATATTGGACACCTGTACCTGGAACACTTATTGGTCTAAGAGATAGCATGATAAACAAATTGAAGTGCCTACCCTCATGGAACTTACCTTCTAACAGAGAAGACAGATAAAGTAAAAAATAAAATATATAATATATTAGCTGAGATTAATAAGTACCACAAAAGAAGTAACAGGCAAAGAAAGACTAACTTGTGCTTTTATTTAATATCTGATGACTTGAAGGCATTTCTGGAAAAGATCCAAGCAGAGATCAGACTAAAGTTATGTGAGTATCTGGGGAAATAGCATTACAGTCTGAAGGGCAGAAAGGACAACCTTATGGTGTGGTGTGCTCTAAGGAGCAGCAAGAAGTTTGGCATAGCTGTACTAGAATGAATGAGGATGAAGGTTAGGAAATAACAGAGAAAGCCAAGGGCTGAGTCATGTAGGAACATACAAGCCATGAAGATTTTAAATTTCCCTCTCAATTTTGTGAAAAGTTAGAATTAGGCATCAATGAAATATATATGATACCACGCATC
>NC_000001.11:121856565-121867000 GCF_000001405.40 Homo sapiens
GGAGTCTACTCATATTCCTCCAAAGCATAGTAATTATTCTTTTGGGGAATTGCACCCCTGATGTATTCACAAATAATTAGAATAAAAACTACATTTTCTTATTTTCTCAGAGCTAGAGTTAGCCACAAGATTAAATTCTATCTAATGGAATGTAATCAGAAGTGTAAGCAGAAGTCCATTCAATGGAATGTAAGCAGAAGCACTAGAACATATATATGTATATTCTCGGTCCCTCCCTCTTTCTCTCTCTCTCCCTCTCTCCCTCTCCGTCTCTCTCTGTCTCTTTCCAGGAAAGATACAGATTGATTCGCTTTCATATAAAGACATCAAGATAAAGGCATCCTGTTGAAATTCATAAAATTATCAGGGACCAAAGCTCCTCTCTCTTTCTGTTCAATCATACTCAGACTAGGACTTCCGCCTCAGGAACTGAAATGCCTGAATGAGCTCCAGTCATCAACTCTCTATTTCAACAAACATAAAATGCAAACATCCCAAAGAAGTTTCTGCCAATGCTTCTGTTTAGTTAGGTGACGTTATCCCATTTCCAACGAAATCCTCAGAGAGGTCGAAATATCCACTTGCAGATTCTACAAAAAGTGTGTTTCAAAACTGCTCCATGCAAAGGAATGTTCAGCTCTATGAGTTAAACTCAATCGTCACAAAGTATTTTCTGAGAATGCTTCTGTCCAGTTTTTACAGGAAGCTATTTCCTTTACTACCGTAGGCCCCAAAGCGGTCCAAATCTCCACTTGCAGATTCTACAAAAAGAGTGTCTCAACCTCAACTCACAAAGGAAGGTTCAAATCTGTGAGTTGAATGCCAACATCACAAAGAAGTTTCTGAGAATGCTTCTGTTTAGTTAAGTGAGGTTTATCCCGTTTCCAATGAAATCCTCAGAGAAGTCCAAATATCCACTTGCATATTCTAAAAAAAGTGTGTTTCGAAACTGCTCCATCAAAAGGAATGCTCAGCTCTGTGAGTTAAACTCAATCATCACAAAGAATTTTCTGAGAATGCATCTGTCTTCTTTTTAGATGAAGATATTTCCTTTACTACGATAGGCCTCAAAGAGGTCCAAATCTCCACTTGCAGATTCTACAGAAAGAGTGTTTCAAACCTGAACTATCAGAGGAAGGTTCAACACTGTGAGTTGAATGCAAACATCACGAAGAAGGTTCTGAGAATGCTTCTGTTTAGATAGGTGAGGTTTCTCCCGTTTCCAACGAAATCCTCAGAGAGGTCCAAATATCCACTTGCAGATTCTACAAAAAGTGTGTTTTGAAACTGCTCCATCCAAAGGAATGTTCAGCTCTGTGAGTTGAACTCAATCGTCACAAATTGTTTCCTGAGAATGCTACTGTCTTGTTTTTATATGTAGTTATTTGCTCTGCTGCCGTAGGCCTGAAAGCGGTCCAAATCTCCCCTTTCAGATTCTACCAAAAGTGTGTTTCCAAACGGCTCTATCAAAGGGAATGTTCAACTCTGTGACTTGAATGCAATCATCAAAAAAGTAGTTTCTGAGAATGCTTCCATCTAGCTTTTATGAGAAGATATTTCCTTTCCCACCACAGGCCTCGAAGCCCTCCAAATGTCCATTTGCAGATTCTAGAAAGAGAGGGTTTCAAGGCTGCTCTATCAAAAAGAAAGTACAACTCTGTGAGTTGAATGCAAACACCACAAAGAAGTTTCTGAGAATACTTCAGTGTAGCTTTTATGGGAAGATTATCCCTTTTCCATCGAAATCTTCAAAGAGGTCCAAATATCCGCTTGCAGATTCCACCGAAAGAGTGATTCCAAACTGCTGTATCAAAAGGAATCTTCAACTCCGTGAGTTCAATGCAATCATCACAAAGAAGTTTCTGACAATGCTTCTCCCTAGTTTTTATGTGAAGATATTTCCTTTTCCACCACAGGCCTGAAAGCGCTGTAAATGTCCACTTGCAGACTCTACGAAAAGAATGCTTCAAAACTGCTCTATGAAAAGCAATGTTAAACTCTGGGAGTTGACCACAAGCCTCACAAAGAAGTTTCTGAGAATGCTTCTGTTTATTTTTTATGTGAAGATATTCCCGTTTCCAAAGAAATCTTCACAGAGGTCCACATATCCACTTGCAGATTCTACAAAAAGAGAGTTTCAAAACTGCTGTATCAAAAGGAATGTTCAACTCTGCGAGTTGAATGCAATCATCACAAAGCAGTTTCTGAGAAGGCTTCCGTCTAGATTTTACGTGAAGATATACCCGTTTCGAATGAAGGCCACAAAGTGCTCCAAATATCCACATGCAGATCCTACAAAAAGAGTGTTACAAACGTGAACTAACAAAGGAAGGTTCAACTCTGGGCTTTGAATGCAAACATTACAAAGAAGTTTCTGGGAAAGCTTCTGTTTAGTTAGATGATGTTATCCCGTTTCCAACAAAATCCTCAGAGAGGTCCAAATATCCACTTGCAGATTCTACAAAAAGTGTGTTTCAAAACTGCTCCATCCAAAGGCACGTTCAGATCTGTGAGTTAAATTCAATCATCACAAAGTATTTTCTGAGAATGCTTCTGTCCAGTTTTTACATGAAGCTATTTCCTTTACTACCGTAGGCCTCCAAGCAGTCCAAATCTCCACTTGCAGATTCTACAAAAAGAGTGTTTCAACCAGAACTCAGAAAGGAAGGTTCAACCCTGTGAGTGGAATGCCAACATCACAAAGAATTTTCTGAGAATGCTTCTGTCTTGTTTTTAGATGAAGTTATTTCCTTTACCACGATAGGCCTCAAAGAGGTCCAAATCTCCACTTGCAGATTCTACAGAAAGAGTGTTTCAAACCTGAATTATCAGAGAAAGGATCAACACTGTGAGTTGAATGCAAACATCACGAAGAAGGTTCTGAGAATGCTTCTGTTTAGATAGGTGAGGTTTATCCCGTTTCCAACGATATCCTCAGAGAGGTCCAAATATCCACTTGCAGATTCTACAAAAACTGTGTTTCAAAACTGCTCCATCCAAAGGAATGTTCACCTCTGTGAGTTGAACTCAATCGTCACAAATTGTTTCCTGAGAATGCTACTGTCTAGTTTTCATATGTGCAGTTATATCCTCTACTGCCATAGGCCTCAAAGCGGTCCAAATCTCCCCTTGCAGATTCTACCAAAAGTGTGTTTCCAAACGGCTCTATCAAAGGGAATGTTAAACTCTGTGACTTGAATGCAATCATCACAAAGTAGTTTCTGAGAATGCTTCCATCTAGCTTTTATGAGAAGATATTTCCTTTTCCACCACAGGCTTCGAAGCCCTCCAAATGTCCACTTACAGATTCTAGAAAGAGAGGGTTTCATAGCTGCTCTATGAAAAGGAAAGTACAACTCTGCGAGTTGAATGCAAACATCACAAAGAAGTTTCTGAGAATGCTTCCGTTTAGCTTTTATGGGAAGATTATCCTTTTTCCATCGAAATCTTCAAAGAGGTCCAAATATCCGCTTGCAGATTCCACCGAAAGAGTGATTCCAAACTGCTGTATCAAAAGGAATCTTCAGCTCCGTGAGTTGAATGCAATCAATCCAAAGAAGTTTCTGACAATGCTTCTCTCTAGATTTTATGTGAAGATATCAGGCCTGAAAGCGCTCCAAATGTCCACTTGCAGACTCTACGAAAGGAATGTTTCAAAACTGCTCTCTGAAAAGCAATGTTAAACTCTGGGAGTTGAACACAAGCCTCACAAAGAAGTTTCTGAGAATGCTTCGGTTTACTTTTTATGTGAAGATATTCCCGTTTCCAAAGAAATCTTCACAGAGGTCCACATATCCACTTGCGGATTCTACAAAAAGAGAGTTTCAAAACTGCTCTATCAAAAGGAATGTTCAACTCTGTGAGTTGCATGCAATCATCACAGAGAAGTTTCTGAGAAGGCTTCTGTCTAGATTTTATGTGAAGATATACCCGTTTCGAACGAAGGCCACAAAGTGCTCCAAATATCCACTTGCAGATCCTTCAAAAAGAGTGTTTCAAAAGTGAACTATCAAAGGAAGGTTCAACTCTGGGCTTTGAATGCAAACATCACAAAGAAGTTTCTGCGAAAGCTTCTGTTTAGTTAGGTGACGTTATCCCGTTTCCAACGAAATCCTCAGAGAGGTCCAAATATCCACTTGCAGATTCTACAAAAAGTGTGTTTCAAAACTGCTCCATCCAAAGGCATGTTGTGCTCTGTGAGTTAAATTCAATCATCAGAAAGAATTTTCTAAGAATGCTTCTGTCCAGTTTTTAGATGAAGCTATTTCCTTTACTACCGTAGGACTCCAAGTGGTCCAAATCTCCACTTGCAGATTCTACAAAAAGAGAGTTTCAACCTGAACTCACAAGAGAAGGTTCAAACCTGTGAGTTGAATGACAACATCACAAAGAAGTTTCTGAGAATGCTTCTGTCTTGTTTTACGATGAAGTTATTTCCCTTACTACGATAGGCCTCAAAGAGGTCCAAATCTCCACTTGCAGATTCTACAGAAAGTGTGTTTCAAACCTGAACTATCAGAGCAATGTTCAACACTGTGAGTTGAATGCAAACATCAGGAAAAAGGTTCTGAGAATGCTTCTGTTTAGATAAGAGAGGTTTATCCCGTTTCCAACGAAATCCTCAGAGAGGTCCAAATATCCACTTGCAGATTCTACAAAAAGTGTGTTTCGAAACTGCTCCATCCAAAGGAATGTTCAGCAAGGTGAGTTGAACTTAATGGTCACAAAGTGTTTCCTGAGAATGCTACTGTCTTGTTTTTATATGTAGTTATTTCCTCTGCTGCCGTAGGCCAGAAAGCGGTCCCAATCTCCCCTTTCAGATTCTACCAAAAGTGTGTTTGCAAACGGCTCTATCAAACGGAATGTTCAACTCTGTGACTTGAATGCAATCATCACAAAGTAGGTTCTGAGAATTCTTCCATCTAGCTTTTATGAAAAGATATTTCCTTTTCGACCACATGCCTCGAAGCCCTCCAAATGTCCACTTGCAGATTCTAGAAAGAGAGGGTTTCAAAGCTGCTCTATCAAAAGGAAAGTACAACTCTGTGAGTTGAATGCAAACATCACAAAGAAGTTTCTGAGAATGCTTTCGTTTAGCTTTTCGGAAGATTATCCCTTTTCCATCGAAATCTTCAAAGAGGTCCAAATATCCGCCTGCAGATTCCACCGAAAGAGTGTTTCCAAACTGCTGTATCAAAAGGAATCTTCAACTCCGTGAGTTGAATGCAATCATCACAAAGAAGTTTCTGACAATGCTTCTCTCTAGTTTTTATGTGATGATATTTCCTTTGCCACAACAGGCCTGAAAGCGCTCTAAATGTCCACTTGCAGACATTACAAAAAGAATGTTTCAAAACTGCTCTATGAAGAGCAATGTTAAACTCTGGGAGTTGAACACAAGCCTCACAAAGAAGTTTCTGAGAATGCTTCTGTTTACTTTTTATGTGAAGATATTCTTGTTTCCAAGGAAATCTTCACAGAGGTCCACATATCCACTTGCAGATTCTACACAAAGAGAGTTTCAAAACTGTTCTATCAAAAGGAATGTTCAACACTGTGAGTTGCATGCAATCATCACAGAGAAGTTTCTGAGAAGGCTTCTGTCTAGATTTTATGTGAAGATATAACCGTTTCGAATGAAGGCCACAAAGGGCTCCAAATATCCACTTGCAGATCCTGCAAAAAGAGTGTTTCAAACGTGAACTATCAAAGGAAGGTTCAACTCTGGGCTTTGAATGCAAACATCACAAAGTAGTTTCTGCGAAACCTTCTGTTTAGTTAGGGGACGTTATCCCGTTTCCAACGAAATCCTCAGAGAGGTCCAAATATCCATTTGCAGATTCTACAAAAAGTGTGTTTCAAAACTGCTCCATCCAAAGGAATGTTCAGCTCTGTGAGTTGAACTCAATCGTCACAAAGTGTTTCCTGGGAATGCTACTGTCTAGTTTTTATATGTAGTTATTTCCTCTATGGCCATACGCCTCAAACGGTCCAAATCTCCCCTTGCAGATTCTACCAAAAGTGTGTTTCCAAACGGCTCTATCAAACGGAGTGTTCAACTCTGTGACGTGAATGCAATCATCACAATGTAGTTTCTGAGAATGCTTCCATCTAGCTTTTATGGGAAGATATTTCCTTTTCCACCACAGGCCGCGAAGCCCTCCAAATGTCCACTTGCAGGTTCTAGAAAGAGAGGGTTTCAAAGCGGCTCTATCTAAAGGAAAGTACAACTCTGTGAGTTGAATGCAAACATCACAAAGAAGTTTCTGAGAATGTTTCCGTTTAGCTTTTATGGGAAGATTATCCCTTTTCCATCGAAATCTTCAAAGAGGTCCAAATATCAGCTTGCAGATTCCACCGAAAGAGTGATTCCAAACTGCTGTATCAAAACGAATGTTCAACTCAGTGAGGTGAATGCAATCATCACAAAGAAGTTTCTGACAATGCTTCTCTCTAGTTTTTATGTGAAGATATTTCCTTTTCCACCGCAGGCCTGAAAGCGCTCAAAATGTCCACTTGCAGACCCTACGAAAGGAATGTTTCAAAACTGCTCTATGAAAAGCAATGTTATACTCTGGGAGTTGAACACAAGCCTCACAAAGGAGTTTCTGAAAATGCTTCTGTTTATTTTACGTGAAGATATTCCCGTTTGCAAAGAAGTCTTCACAGAGTTCCACCTATCCATTTGCAGATGCTAGAAAAAGAGAGTTTCAAAACTGCTCTATCAAAAGGACTGTTCAACTCTGTGAGTTGAATGCAATCATCACAGAGAAGTTTCTGAGAAGGCTTCTGTCTAGATTTTATGTGAAGATATACCCGTTTCGAACGAAGACCACAAAGTGCTCCAAATATCCACTTGCAGGTCCTCCAACAAGAGTGTTTCAAACGTGAACTATCAAAGGAAGGTTCAACTCTGGACTTTGAATGCAAACGTCAGAAAGATGTTTCTGCGAAAGCTTCTGTTTAGTTAGGTGACGTTATCCCGTTTCCAAAGAAATCCTCAGAGAGGTCCAAATATCCACCTGCAGAGTCTACAAAAAGTGTGTTTCAAAACTGCTCCACCCAAAGGAATGCTCAGCTCTGTGAGTTAAACTCAATCATCCCAAAGTATTTTCTGAGAATGCTTCTGTCCAGTTTTTACATGAAGCTGTTTCCTTTACTACCGTAATCCTCAAAGCATTCCAAATCTCCACTTGCAGATACTACGAAAAGAGCGATTCAACCTGAACTCACAAGGGAAGGTTCAACTCTGTCAGTTGAATACCAACATCACAAAGAAGTTCTGAGAATGCTTCTCTTCAGTTATGTGAGGTTTATACCGTTTCCAACGAAATTCTCAGAGATGTCCAAATATCCACTTGCATAATCTACAAAAAGTGTGTTTTGAAAATGCTCCATCAAAAGATATGCTCAGCTCTGTGAGTTAAACTCAATCATCACAAAGAATTTTCTGAGAATGCTTCTGTCTAGTTTTTAGATGAAGTTCTCTCCTTTACTACGATAGGCCTCAAAGTGGTCCAAATCTCCACTTGCAGATTCTGCAGAAGGAGTGTTTCAAACCTGAACTATGAGAGAAAGGTTCAACACTGTGAGTTGAATGCAAGCATCACGAAGGAGGTTCTGAGAATGCTTCTGTTTAGATAGGTGAGTTTTCTACCTTATCCAATGAAATCCTCAGAGAGGTCCAAATATCCACTTGCAGATTCTACAAAAAGTGTGTTTTGAAACTGCTCCATCCAAAGGAATGTTCAGCTCTGTGAGTTGATCTCAATCGTCACAAAGTGTTTCCTGGGAATGCTACTGTCTAGTTTTTATGTGCAGTTATATCCTCTACTGCCATAGGCCTCACAGCGGTCCAAATCTCCCCTTTCAGATTCTACCAAAAGTGTGTTTCCAAATGGCTCTATCAAAGGGAATGTTCAACTCTGTGACTTGAATGCAATCATCACAAAGCAGTTTCTGAGAATGCTTCCATGTAGCTTTTATGAGAAGATATTTCCTTTTCCACCCCAGGCCTCGAAGCCCTCCAAATGTCCCCTTGCAGATGCCAGAAAGAGAGGGTTTCAAAGCTGCTCTATCAAAAGGAAAGTACAACTCTGTGAGTTGAATGCAAACATCAAAAAGAAGTTCCTGAACATGCTTCCGTTTAGCTTTTATGGAAAGATTATCCCTTTTCCATCGAAATGTTCAAAGAGGTCCGCATATCCGCTTGCAGATTCCACCGAAAGTGTGTTTCCAAACTGCTGTATCAAAAGGAATCCTCAACTCCGTGAGTTCCATGCAATCATCACAAAGAAGTTTCTGACAATGCTTCTCTCTAGTTTTTATGTGAAGATATTTCCTTTTCCACCACAGGCCTGAAAGCGCTCCAAATGTCCACTTGGAGAATCTACGAAAAGAATGTTTCAAAACTGCTCTATGAAAAGCAATGTTATACTCTGGGAGTTGAACACAAGCCTCCCAAAGTAGTTTCCGAGAAGGCTTCTGTTTACATTTTACGTGAGGATATTCCCGTTTCCAAAGAAATCTTCACAGAGTTCCACGTATCCATTTGCAGATGCTAGAAAAAGAGAGTTTCAAAACTGCTCTGTCAAAAGAAATGTTCAAATCTGTGAGTTGAATGCAATCATCACAGAGAAGTTTCTGAGAAGGCTTCTGTCTAGATTTTATGTGAAGATATACCTGTTTCGAACGAAGGCCACAAAGTGCTCCAAATGTCCACTTGCAGGTCCTCCAAAAAGAGTGTTTCAAACGTGAACTATCAAAGGAAGGTTCAACTCTGGACTTTGAATGCAAACGTCAGAAAGATGTTTCTGCGAAAGCTTCTGTTTAGTTAGGTGACGTTATCCCGTTTCCAACGAAATCCTCAGAGAGGTCCAAATATCCACCTGCAGAGTCTACAAAAAGTGTGTTTCAAAACTGCTCCACCCAAAGGAATGTTCAGCTCTGTGAGTTAAACACAATCATCACAAAGTATTTTCTGAGAATGCTTCTGTCCAGTTTTTACATGAAGCTGTTTCCTTTACTACCGTAGGCCTCAAAGCGTTCCAAATCTCCACTTGCAGATACTACGAAAAGAGCGATTCAGCCTGAACTCACAAGGGAAGGTTCAATTCTGTCATTTGAATGCCAACATTACAAAGAAGTTCTGAGAATGTTTCTCCTCACCTATGTGAGGTTTATCCCGTTTCCAACGAAATTCTCAGAGAAGTCCAAATATCCACTTGGATATTCTACAAAAAGTGTGTTTTGAAAATGCTCCATCAAAAGATATGCTCAGCTCTGTGAGTTAAACCCAATCATCACAAAGAATTTTCTGAGAATGCTTCTGTCTTGTTTTTAGATGAAGTTCTTTCATTTACTACGATAGGCCTCAAAGAGGTCCAAATCTCCACTTGCAGATTCTGCAGAAGGAGTGTTTAAAACCTGAACTATCAGAGAAAGGTTCAACACTGTGAGTTGAATGCAAGCATCAGGAAGAAGGTTCTGAGAATGCTTCTGTTTACATACGTGAGTTTTCTCCCGTATCCATCAAAAGATATGCTCAGCTCTGTGAGTTAAACTCAATCATCACAAAGAATTTTCTGAGAATGCTTCTGTCTTGTTTTTAGATGAAGTTCTTTCCTTTACTACGATAGGCCTCAAAGAGGTCCAAATCTCCACTTGCAGATTCTGCAGAAGGAGTGTTTCAAACCTGAACTATCAGAGAAAGGTTCAACACTGTGAGTTGAATGCAAGCATCACGAAGAAGGTTCTGAGAATGCTTCTGTTTACATAGGTGAGTTTTCTCCCGTATCCAATGAAATCCTCAGAGCGGTCCAAATCTCCACTTGCAGATTCTACAAAAAGTGTGTTTTGAAACTGCTCCATCCAAAGGAATGTTCAGCTCTGTGAATTGAACTCAATCGTCACAAAGTGTTTCCTGGGAATGCTCCTGTCTCCTTTTTATGTGCAGTTATATCCTCTACTGCCATAGGCCTCAAAGCGGTCCAAATCTCCCCTTTCAGATTCTACCAAAAGTGTGTTTCCAAACGGCTCCATCAAAGGGAATGTTCAACTCGGTGACTTGAATGCAATCATCACAAACCAGTTTCTGAGAATGCTTCCATGTAGCTTTGATGAGAAGATATTTCCTTTTCCACCCCAGGCCTCGAAGCCCTCCAAATGTCCCCTTGCAGATGCTAGAAAGAGAGGGTTTCAAAGCTGCTCTATCAAAAGGAAAGTACAACTCTGTGAGTTGAATGCAAACTTCACAAAGAAGTTCCTGAGCATGCTTCCGTTTAGCTTTTATGGGAAGATTATCCATTTTCCATCGAAATGTTCAAAGAGGTCCACATATCCGCTTGCAGATTCCACCGAAAGAGTGTTTCCAAACTGCTGTATCAAAAGGAATCCTCAACTCCGTGAGTTGAATGCAATCATCACCAAGAAGTTC
>NC_000001.11:121867100-121870003 GCF_000001405.40 Homo sapiens
TAGATTTTAGTGAAGAATAGCCGTTTGAAGGAAGGCACCAAGTGCTCCAAATTTCCATTGCCAGTCTTCCAAAAAGAGTGGTTTCAAACGGAACTANCNAAAGGAAGGCTCCATCTGGACTTTGAATGCAACGTCAGAAAGATTTTCTGCGGAAGCTTCTGTTTAGTTAGGTGACGTTATCCCGTTTCCAACGAAATCCTCAGAGAGGTCCAAATATCCACCTGCAGAGTCTACAAAAAGTGTGTTTCAAAACTGCTCCACCAAAAGGAATGTTCAGCTCTGTGAGTTAAACTCAATCATCCCAAAGTATTTTCTGAGAATTCTTCTGTCCAGTTTTTACATGAAGCTGTTTCCTTTACTACCGTAGGCCTCAAAGCGTTCCAAATCTCCACTTGCAGATACTACGAAAAGAGCGATTCAACCTGAACTCACAAGGGAAGGTTCAACTCTATCAGTTGAATGCCAACATCACAAAGAAGTTCTGAGAATGTTTCTCTTCAGTTATGTGAGGTTTATCCCGTTTCCCACGAAATTCTCAGGGAAGTCCAAATATCCACTTGCATATTCTACAAAAAGTGTGTTTTGAAAATGCTCCATCAAAAGATATGCTCAGCTCTGTGTGTTAAACTCAATCATCACAAAGAATTTTCTGAGAATGCTTCTGTCTTGTTTTTAGATGAGGTTATATCCTTTACTACGATAGGCCTCAAAGAGGTCCAAATCTCCACTTGCAGATTCTGCAGAAGGAGTGTTTAAAACCTGAACTATCAGAGAAAGGTTGAACACTGTGAGTTGAATGCAAGCATCACGAAGAAGGTTCTGAGAATGCTTCTGTTTATATAGGTGAGTTTTCTCCCGTATCCATCAAAAGATATGCTCAGCTGTGTGAGTTAAACTCAATCATCACAAAGAATTTTCTGAGAATGCTTCTGTCTTGTTTTTAGATGAAGTTCTTTCCTTTACTACGATAGGCCTCAAAGAGGTCCAAATCTCCACTTGCAGATTCTGCAGAAGGAGTGTTTAAAACCTGAACTATCAGAGAAAGGTTCAACACTGTGAGTTGAATGCAAGCATCACGAAGAAGGTTCTGAGAATGCTTCTGTTTACATAGGTGTGTTTTCTCCCGTATCCATCAAAAGATATGCTCAGCTCTGTGAGTTAAACCCAATCATCACAAAGAATTTTCTGAGAATGCTTCTGTCTTGTTTTTAGATGAAGTTCTTTCATTTACTACGATAGGCCTCAAAGAGGTCCAAATCTCCACTTGCAGATTCTGCAGAAGGAGTGTTTAAAACCTGAACTATCAGAGAAAGGTTCAACACTGTGAGTTGAATGCAAGCATCAGGAAGAAGGTTCTGAGAATGCTTCTGTTTACATACGTGAGTTTTCTCCCGTATCCATCAAAAGATATGCTCAGCTCTGTGAGTTAAACTCAATCATCACAAAGAATTTTCTGAGAATACTTCTGTCTTGTTTTTAGATGAAGTTCTTTCCTTTACTACGATAGGCCTCAAAGAGGTCCAAATCTCCACTTGCAGATTCTGCAGAAGGAGTGTTTCAAACCTGAACTATCAGAGAAAGGTTCAACACTGTGAGTTGAATGCAAGCATCACGAAGAAGGTTCTGAGAATGCTTCTGTTTACATAGGTGAGTTTTCTCCCGTATCCAATGAAATCCTCAGAGCGGTCCAAATCTCCACTTGCAGATTCTACAAAAAGTGTGTTTTGAAACTGCTCCATCCAAAGGAATGTTCAGCTCTGTGAATTGAACTCAATCGTCACAAAGTGTTTCCTGGGAATGCTCCTGTCTCCTTTTTATGTGCAGTTATATCCTCTACTGCCATAGGCCTCAAAGCGGTCCAAATCTCCCCTTTCAGATTCTACCAAAAGTGTGTTTCCAAACGGCTCCATCAAAGGGAATGTTCAACTCGGTGACTTGAATGCAATCATCACAAAGCAGTTTCTGAGAATGCTTCCATGTAGCTTTGATGAGAAGATATTTCCTTTTCCACCCCAGGCCTCGAAGCCCTCCAAATGTCCCCTTGCAGATGCTAGAAAGAGAGGGTTTCAAAGCTGCTCTATCAAAAGGAAAGTACAACTCTGTGAGTTGAATGCAAACTTCACAAAGAAGTTCCTGAGCATGCTTCCGTTTAGCTTTTACGGGAAGATTATCCCTTTTCCATCGAAATGTTCAAAGAGGTCCACATATCCGCTTGCAGATTCCACCGAAAGAGTGTTTCCAAACAGCTGCATCAAAAGGAATCCTCAGCTCCGTGAGTTGAATGCAATCATCACCAAGAGGTTTCTGACAATGCTTCTCTCTAGTTTTTATGTGAAGATATTTCCTTTTCCAACACAGGCCTGAAAGCCCTCCAAATGTCCACCTGGATGCTCTACGAAAAGAATGTTTCAAAACTGCTCTATGAAAAGCAATGTTATACTCTGGGAGTTGAACACAAGCCCCACAAAGGAGTTTCTGAGAATGCTTCTGTTTACTTTTTACGTGAGGATATTCCCGTTTCCAAAGAAGTCTTCACAGAGTTCCACCTATCCATTTGCAGATGCTAGCAAAAGAGAGTTTCAAAATTGCTCTATCAAAAGGAATGTTCAACTCTGTGAGTTGCATGCAATCATCACAGAGAAGTTTCTGAGAAGGCTTCTGTCTAGATTTTATGTGAAGATACAGCCGTTTCGAACGAAGGCCACAAAGTGCTCCAAATATCCACTTGCAGGTCCTCCAAAAAGAGTGTTTCAAACGNTGAACTATCCAAATGGAAGTGCTCAACTTCTGGACTTTGAATGCAAACGTCAGAAAGATTTTTCTGCGAAAGCTTCTGTTTAGTTAGGTGACGTTATCCCGTTTCCAAGCGAAATCGTCAGAGAGGTCCAAATATCCACCGCAGA
>NC_000001.11:121870103-121873290 GCF_000001405.40 Homo sapiens
CCCCAGCCCTGGAAGCCTCCAAAATTCCCCTTGGAATGTTGAAAAGGGGGGTTCCAAGCTGTTTTTCAAAAGGAAAGTCCATCTTGGGGGTTGATGCAACCTCCCAAGGAAATTCCTGAGCATGTTTCCGTTAAGGTTTTACGGAAGGAATTTCCCTTTTCCATCGAAAATGTCCAAAGAGGTCCAAAAATCCCGCTGGCAGATTCCCCGAAAGGAGTGTTCCAAACTGCGGCATCCAAAGGAATTCTTCAGCTCCGTGAGTTGAATGCAATCATCACCCAGAAGTTTCTGACAATGCTTCTCTCTAGTTTTTATGTGAAGATATTTCTTTTCCACNNGCAGGCNTGAAAGCGCTCCAAATGTCCACTNGGAGGCTCTACGAAAAGAATGTTTCAAAACTGCTCTATGAAAAGCAATGTTATACTCTGGGAGTTGAACACAAGCCTCACAAAGGAGTTTCTGAGAATGCTTCTGTTTACTTTTTACGTGAGGATATTCCCGTTTCCAAAGAAGTCTTCACAGAGTTCCACCTATCCATTTGCAGATGCTAGCAAAAGAGAGTTTCAAAACTGCTCCATCAAAAGGAATGTTCAACTCTGTGAGTTGCAGGCAATCATCACAGAGAAGTTTCTGAGAAGGCTTCTGTCTAGATTTTATGTGAAGATACGGCCGTTTCGAACGAAGGCCACAAAGCGCTCCCAATATCCACTTGCAGGTCCTCCAAAAAGAGTGTTTCAAACGTGAACTACCAAAGGAAGGCTCAACTCTGGACTTTGAATGCCAACGTCAGAAGGATGTTTCTGCGAAAGCTTCTGTTTAGTTAGGTGACGTTATCCCGTTTCCAACGAAATCCTCAGAGAGGTTCAAATATCCACCTGCAGAGTCTACAAAAAGTGTGTTTCAAAACTGCTCCACCCAAAGGAATGTTCAGCTCTGTGAGTTGAACTCAATCATCCCAAAGTATTTTCTGAAAATGCTTCTGTCCAGTTTTTACATGAAGCTGTTTCCTTTACTACCGTAGGCCTCAAAGCGTTCCAAACCTCCACTTGCAGATACTACGAAAAGAGCGTTTCAACATGAACTCACAAGGGAAGGTTCAACTCTGCCAGTTGAATGCCAACATCAAGAAGAACTTCTGAGAATGTTCCTCTTCAGTTACGTGAGGTTTATCCCCTTTCCAACGAAATTCTCAGAGAAGTCCCAAAATCCACTTCCATATTCCACAAAAGGTGTGTTTTGAAAATGCGCCATCAAAAGATATGCTCAGCTCTGTGAGTTAAACTCATCATCGCAAAGTATTTTCTGAGAATGCTTCCGTCTGTTTTAGATGAAGTCTTTCCTTTACTACGATAGGCCTCAGAGGTCCAAATGTCACTTGCAGATTCTGCAGAAAGAGTGTTTCAAACCTGAACTGTCAGAGAAAGGTTCAACACTGTGAGTTGATGCCGCATCACGAAAAGGTTCTGAGAATGCTTCTGTTTACGTAGGTGACTTTTCTCCCGTATCCACGNAAATCCTCAGAGCGGTCCAAATCTCCACTGNCAGATTCTACACAAAGTGTGTTTGGAAACTGCTTCACNCAAAGGAATGTTCAGCTCTGTGAGTTGAACTCAATCGTCACAAAGCGTTTCCTGGGAATGCTCCTGTCTCGCTTTTATGTGCAGTTATATCCTCTACTGCCATAGGCCTCAAAGCGGTCCAAATCTCCCCTTTCAGATTCTACCAAAAGTGTGTTTCCAAACGGCCCCATCAAAGGGGATGTTCAACTCGGTGACTTGAATGCAATCATCACAAAGCAGCTTCTGAGAATGCTTCCATGTAGGTTTGATGAGAAGATATTTCCTTTTCCACCCCAGGCCTCGAAGCCCTCCAAATGTCCCCTTGCAGATGCTAGAAAGAGGGGGTTTCAAAGCTGCTCTATCAAAAGGAAAGTACAACTCTGTGAGTTGAATGCAAACATCACAAGGAAGTTCCTGAGCATGCTTCCGTTTAGCTTTTACGGGAAGATTATCCCTTTTCCATCGAAATGTTCAAAGAGGTCCACATATCCGCTTGCAGATTCCACCGAAAGAGTGTTTCCAAACTGCTGCATCCAAAGGAATCCTCAGCTCCGTGAGTTGAATGCAATCATCACCAAGAAGTTTCTGACAATGCTTCTCTCTAGTTTTTATGTGAAGATATTTCCTTTTCCACCGCAGGCCTGAAAGCGCTCCAAATGTCCACTTGGAGGCTCTACGAAAAGAATGTTTCAAAACTGCTCTATGAAAAGCAATGTTATACTCTGGGAGTTGAACACAAGCCTCACAAAGTAGTTTCTGAGAATGCTTCTGTTTACTTTTTACGTGAGGATATTCCCGTTTCCAAAGCAGTCTTCACAGAGTTCCACCTATCCATTTGCAGATGCTAGCAAAAGAGAGTTTCAAAACTGCTCCATCAAAAGGAATGTTCAACTCTGTGAGTTGCATGCAATCATCACAGAGAAGTTTCTGAGAAGGCTTCTGTCTAGATTTTATGTGAAGATATGGCCGTTTCGAACGAAGGCCACAAAGTGCTCCCAATATCCACTTGCAGGTCCTCCAAAAAGAGTGTTTCAAACGTGAACTACCAAAGGAAGGCTCAACTCTGGACTTTGAATGCCAACGTCAGAAGGATGTTTCTGCGAAAGCTTCTGTTTAGTTAGGTGACGTTATCCCGTTTCCAACGAAATCCTCAGAGAGGTCCAAATATCCACCTGCGGAGTCTACAAAAAGTGTGTTTCAAAACTGCTCCACCCAAAGGAATGTTCAGCTCTGTGAGTTGAACTCAATCATCCCAAAGTATTTTCTGAGAATGCTTCTGTCCAGTTTTTACATGAAGCTGTTTCCTTTACTACTGTAGGCCTCAAAGCGTTCCAAACCTCCACTTGCAGATACTACGAAAAGAGCGTTTCGGCCGGGCGCGGTGGCTCACGCCTGTAATCCCAGCACTTTGGGAGGCCGAGGCGGGCGGATCACGAGGTCAGGAGATCGAGACCATCCCGGCTAAAACGGTGAAACCCCGTCTCTACTAAAAATACAAAAAATTACCGGGCGTAGTGGCGGGCGCCTGTAGTCCAGCTACTTGGGAGCTGAGGCAGGAAATGGCGTGAACCCGGGAGCGGAGCTTGCAGTGAGCCAGATCCGCACTGCCTCAACCTGGCGAAGAGCGA
>NC_000001.11:121873390-121890873 GCF_000001405.40 Homo sapiens
TTTATTGAAGTATTCCTTTTCACCGAGGCTGAAGGGTCCAATGTCCACTGGAGCTTAAGGAAAGATGTTTCAAAACTGCTCTATGAAAGCAATGTTATCTCTTGGAGTGAACCCAGCTNCCACAAAGGAGTTTCGAAGAATGCTTCTGTTAACTTTTTACGGGAGGATATTCCCGTTTCCAAAGAAGTCTTCCAGAGTTCCACCTATCCATTTGCAGATGCTAGCAAAAGAGAGTTTCAAAACTGCTCCATCAAAAGGAATGTTCAACTCTGTGAGTTGCATGCAATCATCACAGAGAAGTTTCTGAGAAGGCTTCTGTCTAGATTTTATGTGAAGATATGGCCGTTTCGAACGAAGGCCACAAAGCGCTCCCAATATCCACTTGCAGGTCCTCCAAAAAGAGTGTTTCAAACGTGAACTACCAAAGGAAGGCTCAACTCTGGACTTTGAATGCCAACGTCAGAAGGATGTTTCTGCGAAAGCTTCTGTTTAGTTAGGTGACGTTATCCCGTTTCCAACGAAATCCTCGGAGAGGTCCAAATATCCACCTGCAGAGTCTACAAAAAGTGTGTTTCAAAACTGCTCCACCCAAAGGAATGTTCAGCTCTGTGAGTTGAACTCAATCATCCCAAAGTATTTTCTGAGAATGCTTCTGTCCAGTTTTTACATGAAGCTGTTTCCTTTACTACCGTAGGCCTCAAAGCGTTCCAAACCTCCACTTGCAGATACTACGAAAAGAGCGTTTCAACCTGAACTCACAAGGGAGGGTTCAACTCTGTCAGTTGAATGTCAACATCACCAAGAACTTCTGAGAATGTTCCTCTTCAGTTATGTGAGGTTTATCCCGTTTCCAACGAAATTCTCAGAGAAGTCCCAAAATCCACTGGCATATTCCACAAAAGGTGTGTTTGGAAAATGCGCAATCAAAAGATATGCTCCGCTCTGTGAGTTAAACTCAATCATCGCAAACAATTTTCTAAGAATGCTTCCGTCTTGTTTTTAGATGAAGTTCTTTCCTTTACTACGATAGGCCTCAAGGAGGTCCAAATCTCCACTTGCAGATTCTGCAGAAGGAGTGTTTCAAACCTGAACTGTCAGAGAAAGGTTCAACACTGTGAGTTGAATGCAAGCATCACGAAGAAGGTTCTGAGAATGCTTCTGTTTATGTAGGGGACTTTTCTCCCGTATCCAACGAAATCCTCAGAGCGGTCCAAATCTCCACTTGCAGATTCTACACAAAGTGTGTTTGGAAACTGCTCCACCCAAAGGTATGTTCAGCTCTGTGAGTTGAACTCAATGGTCACAAAGCGTTTCCTGGGAATGCTCCTGTCTCGCTTTCATGTGCAGTTATATCCTCTACTGCCATAGGCCTCAAAGCGGTCCAAATCTCCCCTTTCAGATTCTACCAAAAGTGTGTTTCCAAACGGCCCCATCAAAGGGGATGTTCAACTCGGTGACTTGAATGCAATCATCAGAAAGCAGGTTCTGAGAATGCTTCCATGTAGGTTTGATGAGAAGATACTTCCTTTTCCACCCCAGGCCTCGAAGCCCTCCAAATGTCCCCTTGCAGATGCTAGAAAGAGGGAGTTTCAAAGCTGCTCTATCAAAAGGAAAGTACAACTCTGTGAGTTGAATGCAAACATCACAAGGAAGTTCCTGAGCATGCTTCCGTTTAGCTTTTACGGGAAGATTATCCCTTTTCCATCGAAATGTTCAAAGAGGTCCACATATCCGCTTGCAGATTCCACACAAAGAGTGTTTCCAAACTGCTGCATCAAAAGGAATCCTCAGCTCCGTGAGTTGAATGCAATCATCACCAAGAAGTTTCTGACAATGCTTCTCTCTAGTTTTTATGTGAAGATATTTCCTTTTCCACCGCAGGCCTGAAAGCGCTCCAAATGTCCACTTGGAGGCTCTACGAAAAGAATGTTTCAAAACTGCTCTATGAAAAGCAATGTTATACTCTGGGAGTTGAACACAAGCCTCACAAAGGAGTTTCTGAGAATGCTTCTGTTTACTTTTTACGTGAGGATATTCCCGTTTCCAAAGAAGTCTTCACAGAGTTCCACCTATCCATTTGCAGATGCTAGCAAAAGAGAGTTTCAAAACTGCTCCATCAAAAGGAATGTTTAACTCTGTGAGTCGCATGCAATCATCACAGAGAAGTTTCTGAGAAGGCTTCTGTCTAGATTTTATGTGAAGATATGGCCGTTTCGAACGAAGGCCACAAAGTGCTCCAAATATCCACTTGCAGGTCCTCCAAAAAGAGTGTTTCAAACGTGAACTACCAAAGGAAGGCTCAACTCTGGACTTTGAATGCCAACGTCAGAAGGATGTTTCTGCGAAAACTTCTGTTTAGTTAGGTGACGTTATCCCGTCTCCAACGAAATCCTCAGAGAGGTCCAAATATCCACCTGCAGAGTCTACAAAAAGTGTGTTTCAAAACTGCTCCACCCAAAGGAATGTTCAGCTCTGTGAGTTGAACTCAATCATCCCAAAGTATTTTCTGAGAATTCTTCTGTCCAGTTTTTACATGAAGCTGTTTCCTTTACAACCGTAGGCCTCAAAGCGTTCCAAACCTCCACTTACAGATACTACGAAAAGAGCGTTTCAACCTGAACTCACAAGGGAAGGTTCAACTCTGTCAGTTGAATGCCAACATCACCAAGAAGTTCTGAGAATGTTCCTCTTCAGTTATGTGAGGTTTATCCCGTTTCCAACGAAATTCTCAGAGAAGTCCCAAAATCCACTGGCATATTCCACAAAAGGTGTGTTTGGAAATTGCGCCATCAAAAGATATGCTCAGCTCTGTGAGTTAACTCATCATCGCAAAGAATTTTCTGAGAATGCTTCCGTCTCTCTTTTAGATGAAGGTCTTCCTTCACTACGATAGCCCTCAGGAGNNTCAATCTCACTGCAGATCTGCAGAAGGAGTGTTTAAACCTGAACTGTCAGAGAAAGGTTCAACACTGTGAGTTGAATGCAAGCATCACGAAGAAGGTTCTGAGAATGCTTCTGTTTACATAGGTGACTTTTCTCCCGTATCCAACGAAATCCTCAGAGCGGTCCAAATCTCCACTTGAAGATTCTACACAAAGTGTGTTTGGAAACTGCTCCACCCAAAGGAATGTTCAGCTCTGTGAGTTGAACTCAATGGTCACAAAGCGTTTCCTGGGAATGCTCCTGTCTCGCTTTTATGTGCAGTTATATCCTCTACTGCCATAGGCCTCAAAGCGGTCCAAATCTCCCCTTTCAGATTCTACCAAAAGTGTGTTTCCAAACGGCCCCATCAAAGGGGATGTTCAACTCGGTGACTTGAATGCAATCATCACAAAGCAGCTTCTGAGAATGCTTCCATGTAGCTTTGATGAGAAGATATTTCCTTTTCCACCCCAGGCCTCGAAGCCCTCCAAATGTCCCCTTGCAGATGCTAGAAAGAGGGGGTTTCAAAGCTGCTCTATCAAAAGGAAAGTACAACTCTGTGAGTTGAATGCAAACATCACAAGGAAGTTCCTGAGCATGCTTCCGTTTAGCTTTTACGGGAAGATTATCCCTTTTCCATCGAAATGTTCAAAGAGGTCCACATATCCGCTTGCAGATTCCACCGAAAGAGTGTTTCCAAACTGCTGCATCCAAAGGAATCCTCAGCTCCGTGAGTTGAATGCAATCATCACCAAGAAGTTTCTGACAATGCTTCTCTCTAGTTTTTATGTGAAGATATTTCCTTTTCCACCGCAGGCCTGAAAGCGCTCCAAATGTCCACTTGGAGGCTCTACGAAAAGAATGTTTCAAAACTGCTCTATGAAAAGCAATGTTATACTCTGGGAGTTGAACACAAGCCTCACAAAGGAGTTTCTGAGAATGCTTCTGTTTACTTTTTACGTGAGGATATTCCCGTTTCCAAAGAAGTCTTCACAGAGTTCCACCTATCCATTTGCAGATGCTAGCAAAAGAGAGTTTCAAAACTGCTCCATCAAAAGGAATGTTCAACTCTGTGAGTTGCATGCAATCATCACAGAGAAGTTTCTGAGAAGGCTTCTGTCTAGATTTTATGTGAAGATATGGCCGTTTCGAACGAAGGCCACAAAGCGCTCCCAATATCCACTTGCAGGTCCTCCAAAAAGAGTGTTTCAAAGGTGAACTACCAAAGGAAGGCTCAAATCTGGACTTTGAATGCCATCGTCAGAAGGATGTTTCTGCGAAAGCTTCTGTTTAGTTAGGTGACGTTATCCCGTTTCCAACGAAATCCTCGGAGAGGTCCAAATATCCACCTGCAGAGTCTACAAAAAGTGTGTTTCAAAACTGCTCCACCCAAAGGAATGTTCAGCTCTGTGAGTTCAACTCAATCATCCCAAAGTATTTTCTGAGAATGCTTCTGTCCAGTTTTTACATGAAGCTGTTTCCTTTACTACCGTAGGCCTCAAAGCATTCCAAACCTCCACTTGCAGATACTACGAAAAGAGCGTTTCAACCTGAACTCACAAGGGAGGGTTCAACTCTGTCAGTTGAATGTCAACATCACCAAGAACTTCTGAGAATGTTCCTCTTCAGTTATGTGAGGTTTATCCCGTTTCCAACGAAATTCTCAGAGAAGTCCCAAAATCCACTTGCATATTCCACAAAAGGTGTGTTTGGAAATTGTGCCATCAAAAGATATGCTCAGCTCTGTGAGTTAAACTCAATCATTGCAAAGAATTTTCTGAGAATGCTTCCGTCTTGTTTTTAGATGAAGTTCTTTCCTTTACTACGACAGGCCTCAAAGAGGTCCAAATCTCCACTGGCAGATTCTGCAGAAGGAGTGTTTCAAACCTGAACTGTCAGAGAAAGGTTCAACACTGTGAGTTGAATGCAAGCATCACGAAGAAGGTTCTGAGAATGCTTCTGTTTACATAGGTGACTTTTCTCCCGTATCCAGTGAAATCCTCAGAGCGGTCCAAATCTCCACTTGCAGATTCTACACAAAGTGTGTTTGGAAACTGCTCCACCCAAAGGAATGTTCAGCTCTGTGAGTTGAACTCAATCGTCACAAAGCGTTTCCTGGGAATGCTCCTGTCTCGCTTTTATGTGCAGTTATATCCTCTACTGCCATAGGCCTCAAAGCGGTCGAAATCTCCCCTTTCAGTTTCTACCAAAGGTGTGTTTCCAAACGGCCCCATCAAAGGGGATGTTCAACTCGGTGACTTGAATGCAATCATCACAAAGCAGCTTCTGAGAATGCTTCCATGTAGCTTTGATGAGAAGATATTTCCTTTTCCACCCCAGGCCTCGAAGCCCTCCAAATGTCCCCTTGCCGATGCTAGAAAGAGGGGGTTTCAAAGCTGCTCTATCAAAAGGAAAGTACAACTCTGTGAGTTGAATGCAAACATCACAAAGAAGTTCCTGAGCATGCTTCCGTTTAGCTTTCATGGGAAGATAGTCCCTATTCCATCGAAATGTTCAAAGAGGTTCGCATATCCACTTGCAGATTCCACCGAAAGAGTGTTTCCAAACTGCTGTATCAAAAGGAATCTTAAACTCCGTGAGTTGAATGCAATCATCACAAAGAAGTTTCTGACAATGCTGCTCTCTAGTGTTTATGTGAAGATATTTACTTTTCCACCACAGGCCAGAAAGCGCTCCAAATGTCCACTTGGAGACTCTACGAAAAGAATGTTTCAAAACTGCTCTATGAAAAGCAATGTTATACTCTGGGAGTTGAACACAAGCCTCACAAAGGAGTTTCTGAGAATGCTTCTGTTTACTTTTTACGTGAAGATATTCCCGTTTCCAAAGAAATCTTCACAGAGTTCCACCTATCCATTTGCAGATGCTAGAAAAAGAGAGTTTCAAAACTGCTCTATCAAAAGGAATGTTCAACTCTGTGAGTTGAATGCAATCATCACAGAGAAATTTCTGAGAAGGCTTCTGTCTATATTTTTGTGAAGATATACCCGTTTCGAACGAAGGCCACAAAGTGCTCCAAATGTCCACTTGCAGGTCCTCCAACAAGAGTGTTTCAAACGTGAACTATCAAAGGAAGGTTCAACTCTGGAATTTGAATGCAAACGTCAGAAAGATGTTTCTGCGAAAGCTTCTGTTTAGTTAGGTGACGTTATCCCGTTTCCAACGAAATCCTCAGAGAGGTCCAAATATCCACCTGCAGATTCTGCAAAAAGTGTGTTTCCAAACTGCTCCACCCAAAGGAATGTTCAGCTCTGTGAGTTAAACTCAATCATCACAAAGTATTTTCTAAGAATGCTTCTGTCCAGTTTTTACATGAAGCTGTTTCCTTTACTACCGTAGGCCTCAAAGCTTTCCAAATCTCCACTTGCAGATACTACGAAAAGGGCGTTTCAACCTGAACTCACAAGGGAAGGTTCAACTCTGTCAGTTGAATGCCAACATCACAAAGAAGTTCTGGGAATGTTCCTCTTCAGTTATGTGAGATATATCCCGTTTCCAACGAAATTCTCAGAGAAGTCCAAAAAACCACTTGCATATTCCACAAAAGGTGTGTTTTGAAAATGCGCCATCAAAAGATATGCTCAGCTCTGTGAGTTAAACTCAATCATCGCGAAGAATTTTCTGAGAATGCTTCCGTCTTGTTTTTAGATGAAGTTCTTTCCTTTACTACGATAGGCTTCAAAGAGGTCCAAATCTCCACTTGCAGATTCTGCAGAAGGAGTGTTTCAAACCTCAACTGTCAGAGAAAGGTTCAACACTGGGTGTTGAATGCAAGCATCACGAAGAAGGTTCTGAGAATGCTTCTGTTTACGTAGGTGACTTTTCTCCCGTATCCAACGAAATCCTCAGAGCGGTCCAAATCTCCACTTGCAGATTCTACACAAAGTGTGTTTGGAAACTGCTCCACCCAAAGGAATGTTCAGCTCTGTGAGTTGAACTCAATGGTCACAAAGCGTTTCCTGGGAATGCTCCTGTCTCGCTTTTCTGTGCAGTTATATCCTCTACTGCCATAGGCCTCAAAGCGGTCCAAATCTCCCCTTTCAGATTCTACCAAAAGTGTGTTTCCAAACGGCCCCATCAAAGGGGATGTTCAACTTGGTGACTTGAATGCAATCATCACAAAGCAGCTTCTGAGAATGCTTCCATGTAGCTTTGATGAGAAGATATTTCCTTTTCCAAACCAGGCCTCGAAGCCCTCCAAATGTCCCCTTGCAGATGCTAGAAAGAGGGGGTTTCAAAGCTGCTCTATCAAAAGGAAAGTACAACTCTGTGAGTTGAATGCAAACATCACAAGGAAGTTCCTGAGCATGCTTCCGTTTAGCTTTTACGGGAAGATTATCCCTTTTCCATCGAAATGTTCAAAGAGGTCCACATATCCGCTTGCAGATTCCACCGAAAGAGTGTTTCCAAACTGCTGCATCCAAAGGAATCCTCAGCTCCGTGAGTTGAATGCAATCATCACCAAGAAGTTTCTGACAATGCTTCTCTCTAGTTTTTATGTGAAGATATTTCCTTTTCCACCGCAGGCCTGAAAGCGCTCCAAATGTCCACTTGGAGGCTCTACGAAAAGAATGTTTCAAAACTGCTCTATGAAAAGCAATGTTATACTCTGGGAGTTGAACACAAACCTCACAAAGGAGTTTCTGAGAATGCTTCTGTTTACTTTTTACGTGAGGATATTCCCGTTTCCAAAGAAGTCTTCACAGAGTTCCACCTATCCATTTGCAGATGCCAGCAAAACTAGAGAGTTTCAAAACTGCTCTATCAAAAGGAATGTTCAACTCTGTGAGTTGCGTGCAATCATCACAGAGAAGATTCTGAGAAGGCTTCTGTCTAGATTTTATGTGAAGATATAGCCGTTTCGAACGAAGGCCACAAAGTGCTCCAAATATCCACTTGCAGGTCCTCCAAAAAGAGTGTTTCAAACGTGAACTACCAAAGGAAGGCTCAACTCGGGACTTTGAAGGCCAACGTCAGAAGGATGTTTCTGCGGAAGCTTCTGTTTAGTTAGGTGACGTTATCCCGTTTCCAACGAAATCCTCAGAGAGGTCCAAATATCCACCTGCAGAGTCTACAAAAAGTGTGTTTCAAAACTGCTCCACCCAAAGGAAGGTTCAGCTCTGTGAGTTGAACTCAATCATCCCAAAGTATTTTCTGAGAAGGCTTCTGTCGAGTTTTTACATGAAGCTGTTTCCTTTACTACCGTAGGCCTCAAAGCGTTCCAAACCTCCACTTGCAGATACTACGAAAAGAGCGTTTCAACCTGAACTCACAAGGGAAGGTTCAACTCTGTCAGTTGAATGCCAACGTCACCAAGAACTTCTGAGAATGTTCCTCTTCAGTTATGTGAGGTTTATCCCGATTCCAACGAAATTCTCGGAGAAGTCCCAAAATCCACTTGCATATTCTACAAAAGGTGTGTCTTGAAAATGCGCCATCAAAAGATATGCTCACCTCTGTGAGTTAAACTCAATCATCGCAAAGAATTTTCTGAGAAGGCATCTGTCTTGTTTTTAGATGAAGTTCTTTCCTTTACTACGATCGGCCTCAAAGAGGTCCAAATCTCCACTTGCAGATTCTGCAGAAGGAGTGTTTCAAACCTGAACTGTCAGAGAAAGGTTCAACACTGTGAGTTGAATGCAAGCATCACGAAGAAGGTTCTGAGAATGCTTCTGTTTACGTAGGTGAGTTTTCTCCCGTATCCAACGAAATCCTCAGAGCGGTCCAAATCTCCACTTGCAGATTCTACACAAAGTGTGTTTGGAAACTGCTCCATCCAAAGGAATGTTCAGCTCTGTGAGTTGAACTCAATCGTCACAAAGTGTTTCCTGGGAATGCTCCTGTCTTGCTTTTATGTGCAGTAATATCCTCTACTGCCATAGGCCTCAAAGCGGTCCAAATCTCCCCTTTCAGATTCTACCAAAAGTGTGTTTCCAAACGGCTCCATCAAAGGGAATGTTCAACTCGGTGACTTGAATGCAATCATCCCGAAGCAGCTTCTGAGAATGCTTCCATGTAGCTTTGATGAGAAGATATTTCCTTTTCCACCCCAGGCCTCGAAGCCCTCTAAATGTCCCCTTGCAGATGCTAGAAAGAGAGGGTTTCAAAGCTGCTCTATCAAAAGGAAAGTACAACTCTGTGAGTTCAATGCAAACATCACAAGGAAGTTCCTGAGCATGCTTCCGTTTAGCTTTTATGGGAAGATTATCCCTTTTCCATCGAAATGTTCAAAGAGGTCCACATATCCGCTTGCAGATTCCACCGAAAGAGTGTTTCCAAACTGCTGCATCAAAAGGAATCCTCAGCTCCGTGAGTTGAATGCAATCATCACCAAGAAGTTTCTGACAATGCTTCTCTCTAGTTTTTATGTGAAGATATTTCCTTTTCCAACACAGGCCTGAAAGCGCTCCAAATGTCCACTTGGAGGCTCTACGAAAAGAATGTTCAAAACTGCTCTATGAAAAGCAATGTTATACTCTGGGAGTTGACACAAGCCTCACAAAGGAGTTTCTGAGAATGCTTCTGTTTAGTTTTTACGTGAGGATATTCCCGTTTCCAAAGAAGTCTTCACAGAGTTCCACCTATCCATTTGCAGATGCCAGCAAAACTAGAGAGTTTCAAAACTGCTCTATCAAAAGGAATGTTCAACTGTGTGAGTTGCGTGCAATCATCACAGAGAAGTTTCTGAGAAGGCTTCTGTCTAGATTTTATGTGAAGATATAGCCGTTTCGAACGAAGGCCACAAAGTGCTCCAAATATCCACTTGCAGGTCCTCCAAAAAGAGTGTTTCAAACGTGAACTACCAAAGGAAGGCTCAACTCTGGACTTTGAATGCCAACGTCAGAAGGATGTTTCTGCGAAAGCTTCTGTTTAGTTAGGTGACGTTATCCCGTCTCCAAAGAAATCCTCAGAGAGGTCCAAATATCCACCTGCAGAGTCTACAAAAAGTGTGTTTCAAAACTGCTCCACCCAAAGGAAGGTTCAGCTCTGTGAGTTGAACTCAATCATCCCAAAGTAGTTTCTGAGAAGGCTTCTGTCCAGTTTTTACATGAAGCTGTTTCCTTTACTACAGTAGGCCTCAAAGCGTTCCAAACCTCCACTTGCAGATACTACGAAAAGAGCGTTTCAACCTGAACTCACAAGGGAAGTTTCAAATCTGTCAGTTGAATGCCAACATCACCAAGAACTTCTGAGAATGTTCCTCTTCAGTTATGTGAGGTTTATCCCGTTTCCAACGAAATTCTCAGAGAAGTCCCAAAATCCACTGGCATATTCCACAAAAGGTGTTTTTGTAAGTTGCGCCATCAAAAGATATGCTCAGCTCTGTAGGTTAAACTCAATCATCACAAAGAATTTTCTGAGAATGCTTCCGTCTTGTTTTTAGATGAAGTTCTTTCCTTTACTACGATAGGCCTCAAAGAGGTCCAAATCTCCACTTGCAGATTCTGCAGAAGGAGTGTTTCAAACCTGAACTGTCAGAGAAAGGTTCAACACTGTGAGTTGAATGCAAGCATCACGAAGAAGGTTCTGAGAATGCTTCTGTTTACGTAGGTGACTTTTCTCCCGTATCCAACGAAATCCTCAGAGCGGTCCAAATCTCCACTTGCAGATTCTACACAAAGTGTGTTTGGAAACTGCTCCACCCAAAGGAATGTTCAGCTCCGTGAGTTGAACTCAATCGTCACAAAGCGTTTCCTGGGAATGCTCCTGTCTCGCTTTTATGTGCAGTTATGTCCTCTGCTGCCATAGGCCTCAAAGCGGTCCAAATCTCCCCTTTCAGATACTACCAGAAGTGTATTTCCAAACGGTCCCATCAAAGGGGATGTTCAACTCGGTGACTTGAATTCAATCATCACAAAGCAGCTTCTGAGAATGCTTCCATGTAGCTTTGATGAGAAGATATTTCCTTTTCCACCCCAGGCCTCGAAGCCCTCCAAATGTCCCCTTGCAAATGCTAGAAAGAGGGGGTTTCAAAGCTGCTCTATCAGAAGGAAAGTACAACTCTGTGAGTTGAATGCAAACATCACAAGGAAGTTCCTGAGCATGCTTCCGTTTAGCTTTACGGGAAGATTATCCCTTTTCCATCGAAATGTTCAAAGAGGTCCACATATCCGCTTGCAGATTCCACCGAAAGAGTGTTTCCAAACTGCTGCATCCAAGGAATCCTCAGCTCCGTGAGTGAAAGCAATCATCACCAAGAAGTTTCTGACAATGCTTCTCTCTAGTTTTTATATGAAGATATTTCCTTTTTCACCGCAGGCCTGAAAGCGCTCCAAATGTCCACTTGGAGGCTCTACGAAAAGAATGTTTCAAAACTGCTCTATGAAGAGCAATGTTCTACTCTGGGAGTTGAACACAAGCCTCACAAAGGAGTTTCTGAGAATGCTTCTGTTTACTTTTTACGTGGGGATATTCCCGTTTCCAAAGAAGTCTTCACAGAGTTCCACCTATCCATTTGCAGATGCCAGCAAAACTAGAGAGTTTCAAAACTGCTCTATCAAAAGGAATGTTCAACTCTGTGAGTTGCGTGCAATCATCACAGAGAAGTTTCTGAGAAGGCTTCTGTCTAGATTTTATGTGAAGATATAGCCGTTTCGAACGAAGGCCACAAAGTGCTCCCAATATCCACTTGCAGGTCCTCCAAAAAGATTGTTTCAAAAGTGAACTACCAAAGGAAGGCTCAACTCTGGACTTTGAATGCCAACGTCAGAAGGATGTTTCTGCGAAAGCTTCTGTTTAGTTAGGTGACGTTATCACGTCTCCAACGAAATCCTGAGATAGGTCCAAATATCCACCTGCAGAGTCTACAAAAAGTGTGTTTCAAAACTGCTCCACCCAAAGGAATGTTCAGCTCTGTGAGTTGAATTCAATCATCCCAAAGTATTTTCTGAGAAGGCTTCTGTCCAGTTTTTACATGAAGCTGTTTCCTTTACTACCGTAGGCCTCAAAGCGTTCCAAACCTCCACTTGCAGATACTACGAAAAGAGCGTTTCAACCTGAACTCACAAGGGAAGTTTCAACTCTGTCAGTTGAATGCCAACATCACCAAGAACTTCTGAGAATGTTCCTCTTCAGTTATGTGAGGTTTATCCCGTTTCCAACGAAATTCTCAGAGAAGTCCCAAAATCCACTGGCATATTCCACAAAAGGTGTGTTTGGAAATTGCGCCATCAAAAGATATGCTCAGCTCTGTGAGTTAAACTCAATCATCGCAAAGAATTTTCTGAGAATGCTTCCGTCTTGTTTTAGGATGAAGTTATTTCCTTTACTACGATAGGCCTCAAAGAGGTCCAAATCTCCACTTGCAGATTCTGCAGAAGGAGTGTTTCAAACCTGAACTATCAGAGAAAGGTTCAACACTGTGAGTTGAATGCAAGCATCACGAAGAAGGTTCTGAGAATACTTCTGTTTAGATAGGTGAGTTTTCTCCCGTATCCAACGAAATCCTCAGAGAGGTCCAAATATCCACTTGCAGATTCTACAGAAAGTGTGTTTTGAAACTGCTCCAAACAAAGGAGTGTTCAGCTCTGAGAGTTGAACTCAATCGTCACAAAGTGTTTCCTGGGAATGCTACTGTCTAGTTTTTATGTGCAGTTATATCCTCTGCTGCCATAGGCCTCAAAGTGTTCCAAATCTCCCCTTTCAGATTCTACCAGAAGTGTGTTTCCAAACGGCTCTATCAAAGGGAATGTTCAACACTGTGACTTGAATGCAATCATCACAAAGCAGTTTCTGAGAATGCTTCCATGTAGCTTTTATGAGAAGATATTTCCTTTTCCACCCCAGGTCTCGAAGCCCTCCAAATGTCTCCTTGCAGATGCTAGAAAGAGAGGGTTTCAAAGCTGCTCTATCAAAAGTAAAGTACAACTCTGTGAGTTGAATGCAAACATCACAAAGAAGTTCCTGAGCATGCTTCCGTTTAGCTTTCATGGGAAGATAATCCCTATTCCATCGAAATGTTCAAAGAGGTCCGCATATCCACTTGCAGATTCCACCGAAAGAGTGTTTCCAAACTGCTGTATCAAAAGGAATCTTAAACTCCGTGAGTTGAATGCAATCATCACAAAGAAGTTTCTGACAATGCTGCTCTCTAGTTTTTATGTGAAGATATTATCTTTTCCACCACAGGCCAGAAAGCGCTCCAAATGTCCACTTGGAGACACTACGAAAAGAATGTTTCAAAACTGCTCTATGAAAAGCAATGTTATACTCTGGGAGTTGAACACAAGCCTCACAAAGGAGTTTCTGAGAATGCTTCTGTTTACTTTTTACGTGAAGATATTCCCGTTTCCAAAGAAATCTTCACAGAGTTCCACCTATCCATTTGCAGATGCTAGAAAAAGAGAGTTTCAAAACTGCTCTATCAAAAGGAATGTTCAACTCTGTGAGTTGAATGCAATCATCGCAGAGAAGTTTCTGAGAAGGCTTCTGTCTAGATTTTTTGTGAAGATATACCCGTTTCGAACGAAGGCCACAAAGTGCTCCAAATATCCACTTGCAGGTCCTCCAACAAGAGTGTTTCAAACGTGAACTATCAAAGGAAGGTTCAACTCTGGACTTTGAATGCAAACGTCAGAAAGATGTTTCTGCGAAAGCTTCTGTTTAGTTAGGTGACGTTATCCCGTTTCCAACGAAATCCTCAGAGAGGTCCAAATATCCACCTGCAGATTCTCCAAAAAGTGTGTTTCCAAACTGCTCCACCCAAAGGAATGTTCAGCTCTGTGAGTTAAACTCAATCAACACAAAGTATTTTCTGAGAATGCTTCTGTCCAGTTTTTACATGAAGCTGTTTCCTTTACTACCGTAGGCCTCAAAGCGTTCCAAACCTCCACTTGCAGATACTACGAAAAGAGCGTTTCAACCTGAACTCACAAGGGAAGGTTGAACTCTGTCAGTTGAATGCCAACATCACCAAGAAGTTCTGAGAATGTTCCTCTTCAGTTATGTGAGATTTATCCCGTTTCCAACGAAATTCTCAGAGAAGTCCCAAAATCCACTTGCATATTCCACAAAGGTGTGTTTTGAAAATGCGCCTTCAAAAGATATGCTCAGCTCTGTGAGTTAAACTCAATCATCGCAAAGAATTTTCTGAGAATGCTTCCGTCTTGTTTTTAGATGAAGTTCTTTCCTTTACTACGATAGGCCTCAAGGAGGTCCAAATCTCCACTTGCAGATTCTGCAGAAGGAGTGTTTCAAACCTGAACTGTCAGAGAAAGTTTCAACACTGTGAGTTGAATGCAAGCATCACGAAGAAGGTTCTGAGAATGCTTCTGTTTACGTAGGTGACTTTTCTCCCGTATCCAACGAAATCCTCAGAGCAGTCCAAATCTCCACTTGCAGATTCTACACAAAGTGAGTTTGGAAACTGCTCCACCCAAAGGAATGTTCAGCTCTGTGAGTTGAACTGAATCGTCACAAAGCGTTTCCTGGGAATGCTCCTGTCTCGCTTTCATGTGCAGTTATATCATCTACTGCCATAGGCCTCAAAGCGGTCCAAATCTCCCCTTTCAGATTCTACCAAAAGTGTGTTTCAAAACGGCCCCATCAAAGGGGATGTTCAACTCGGTGACTTGAATGCAATCATCACAAAGCAGCTTCTGAGAATGCTTCCATGTAGGTTTGATGAGAAGATACTTCCTTTTCCACCCGAGGCCTCGAAGCCCTCCAAATGTCCCCTTGCAGATGCTAGAAAGAGGGGGTTTCAAAGCTGCTCTATCAAAAGGAAAGTACAACTCTGTGAGGTGAATGCAAACATCACAAGGAAGTTCCTGAGCATGCTTCCGTTTAGCTTTTACGGGAAGATTATCCCTTTTCCATCGAAATGTTCAAAGAGGTCCACATATCCGCTTGCAGATTCCACTGAAAGAGTGTTTCCAAACTGCTGCATCAAAAGGAATCCTCAGCTCCGTGAGTTGAATGCAATCATCACCAAGAAGTTTCTGACAATGCTTCTCTCTAGTTTTTATGTGAAGATATTTCCTTTTCCACTGCAGGCCTGAAAGCGCTCCAAATGTCCACTTGGAGGCTCTACGAAAAGAATGTTTCAAAACTGCTCTACGAAAAGCAATGTTATACTCTGGGAGTTGAACACAAGCCTCACAAAGGAGTTTCTGAGAATGCTTCTGTTTACTTTTTACGTGAGGATATTCCCGTTTCCAAAGAAGTCTTCACAGAGTTCCACCTACCCATTTGCAGTTGCTAGGAAAAGAGAGTCTCAAAACTGCTCCATCAAAAGGAATGTTCAACTCTGTGAGTTGCATGCAATCATCACAGAGAAGTTTCTGAGAAGGCTTCTGTCTAGATTTTATTTGAAGATATGGCCGTTTCGAACGAAGGCCACAAAGTGCTCCCAATATCCACTTGCAGGTCCTCCAAAAAGAGTGTTTCAAACGTGAAGTACCAAAGGAAGGCTCAACTCTGGACTTTGAATGCCAACGTCAGAAGGATGTTTCTGCGAAAGCTTCTGTTTAGTTAGGTGACGTTATCCCGTTTCCAACGAAATCCTCAGAGAGGTCCAAATATCCACCTGCAGAGTCTACAAAAAGTGTGTTTCAAAACTGCTCCACCCAAAGGAATGTTCAGCTCTGTGAGTTGAACTCAATCATCCCAAAGTATTTTCTGAGAATGCTTCTGTCCAGTTTTTACATGAAGCTGTTTCCTTTACTACCGTAGGCCTCAAAGCATTCCAAACCTCCACTTGCAGATACTACGAAAAGAGCGTTTCAACCTGAACTCACAAGGGAAGGTTCAACTCTGCCAGTTGAATGCCAACATCACCAAGAACTTCTGAGAATGTTCCTCTTCAGTTACGTGAGGTTTATCCCGTTTCCAACGAAATTCTCAGAGAAGTCCCAAAATCCACTTGCATATTCCACAAAAGGTGTGTTTTGAAAATGCGCCATCAAAAGATATGCTCAGCTCTGTGAGTTAAACTCAATCATCGCAAAGTATTTTCTGAGAATGCTTCCGTCTTGTTTTTAGATGAAGTTCTTTCCTTTACTACGATAGGCCTGAAGGAGGTCCAAATGTCCACTTGCAGATTCTGCAGAAGGAGTGTTTCAAACCTGAACTGTCAGAGAAAGGTTCAACACTGTGAGTTGAATGCAAGCATCACGAAGAAGGTTCTGAGAATGCTTCTGTTTACGTAGGTGACTTTTCTCCCGTATCCAACGAAATCCTCAGAGCGGTCCAAATCTCCACTTGCAGATTCTACACAAAGTGTGTTTGGAAACTGCTCCACCCAAAGGAATGTTCAGCTCTGTGAGTTGAACTCAATCGTCACAAAGCGTTTCCTGGGAATGCTCCTGTCTCGATTTTATGTGCAGTTATATCCTCTACTGCCATAGGCCTCAAAGCGGTCCAAATCTCCCCTTTCAGATTCTACCAAAAGTGTGTTTCCAAACGGCCCCATCAAAGGGGATGTTCAACTCGGTGACTTGAATGCAATCATCACAAAGCAGCTTCTGAGAATGCTTCCATGTAGGTTTGATGAGAAGATATTTCCTTTTCCACCCCAGGCCTCGAAGCCCTCCAAATGTCCCCTTGCAGATGCTAGAAAGAGGGGATTTCAAAGCTGCTCTATCAAAAGGAAAGTACAACTCTGTGAGTTGAATGCAAACATCACAAGGAAGTTCCTGAGCATGCTTCCGTTTAGCTTTTACGGGAAGATTATCCCTTTTCCATCGAAATGTTCAAAGAGGTCCACATATCCGCTTGCAGATTCCACCGAAAGAGTGTTTCCAAACTGCTGCATCCAAAGGAATCCTCAGCTCCGTGAGTTGAATGCAATCATCACCAAGAAGTTTCTGACAATGCTTCTCTCTAGTTTTTATGTGAAGATATTTCCTTTTCCACCGCAGGCCTGAAAGCGCTCCAAATGTCCACTTGGAGGCTCTACGAAAAGAATGTTTCAAAACTGCTCTATGAAAAGCAATGTTATACTCTGGGAGTTGAACACAAGCCTCACAAAGGAGTTTCTGAGAATGCTTCTGTTTACTTTTTACGTGAGGATATTCCCGTTTCCAAAGAAGTCTTCAAAGAGTTCCACCTACCCATTTGCAGATGCTAGCAAAAGAGAGTTTCAAAACTGCTCCATCAAAGGGAATGTTCAACTCTGTGAGTTGCATGCAATCATCACAGAGAAGTTTCTGAGAAGGCTTCTGTCTAGATTTTATGTGAAGATATGGCCGTTTCGAACGAAGGCCACAAAGTGCTCCCAATATCCACTTGCAGGTCCTCCAAAAAGAGTGTTTCAAACGTGAACTACCAAAGGAAGGCTCAACTCTGGAGTTTGAATGCCAACGTCAGAAGGATGTTTCTGCGAAAGCTTCTGTTTAGTTAGGTGACGTTATCCCGTTTCCAACGAAATCCTCAGAGAGGTCCAAATATCCACCTGCAGAGTCTACAAAAAGTGTGTTTCAAAACTGCTCCACCCAAAGGAATGTTCAGCTCTGTGAGTTGAACTCAATCATCCCAAAGTATTTTCTGAGAATGCTTCTGTCCAGTTTTTACATGAAGCTTTTCCTTTATCTACCGTAGGC
>NC_000001.11:121890973-121893132 GCF_000001405.40 Homo sapiens
GNTTATCCGTTTCACGAAATTTTCAGAGAGTCCCAAATCCACTTGCATATCCACAAAAGGTGTGTTTGAAAATGCGCCATCAAAAGATATGCTCAGCTCTGTGAGTAAACTCAATCATCGCAAAGAATTTTTGAGAATGCCTCCGTCTTGTTTTTAGACGAAGTTCTTTCCTTTACTACGATAGGCCTCAAGGAGGTCCAAATCTCCACTTGCAGATTCTGCAGAAGGAGTGTTTCAAACCTGAACTGTCAGAGAAAGGTTCAACACTGTGAGTTGAATGCAAGCATCACGAAGAAGGTTCTGAGAATGCTTCTGTTTACGTAGGTGACTTTTCTCCCGTATCCAACGAAATCCTCAGAGCGGTCCAAATCTCCACTTGCAGATTCTACACAAAGTGTGTTTGGAAACTACTCCACCCAAAGGAATGTTCAGCTCTGTGAGTTGAACTCAATCGTCACAAAGCGTTTCCCGGGAATGCTCCTGTCTCGCTTTCATGTGCAGTTATATCCTCTACTGCCATAGGCCTCAAAGCGGTCCAAATCTCCCCTTTCAGATTCTACCAAAAGTGTGTTTCCAAACGGCCCCATCAAAGGGGATGTTCAACTCGGTGACTTGAATGCAATCATCAGAAAGCAGGTTCTGAGAATGCTTCCATGTAGGTTTGATGAGAAGATACTTCCTTTTCCACCCCAGGCCTCGAAGCCCTCCAAATGTCCCCTTGCAGATGCTAGAAAGAGGGGGTTTCAAAGCTGCTCTATCAAAAGGAAAGTAGAACTCTGTGAGTTGAATGCAAACATCACAAGGAAGTTCCTGAGCATGCTTCCGTTTAGCTTTTACGGGAAGATTATCCCTTTTCCATCGAAATGTTCAAAGAGGTCCACATATCTGCTTGCAGATTCCACCGATAGAGTGTTTCCAAACTGCTGCATCAAAAGGAATCCTCAGCTCCGTGAGTTGAATGCAATCATCACCAAGAAGTTTCTGACAATGCTTCTCTCTAGTTTTTATGTGAAGATATTTCCTTTTCCACCGCAGGCCTGAAAGCGCTCCAAATGTCCACTTGGAGGCTCTACGAAAAGAATTTTTCAAAACTGCTCTATGAAAAGCAATGTTATACTCTGGGAGTTGAACACAAGCCTCACAAAGGAGTTTCTGAGAATGCTTCTGTTTACTTTTTACGTGAGGATATTCCCGTTTCCAAAGAAGTCTTCACAGAGTTCCACCTATACATTTGCAGATGCTAGCAAAAGAGAGTTCAAAACTGCTCCATCAAAAGGAATGTTTAACTCTGTGAGTTGCATGCAATCATCACAGAGAAGTTTCTGAGAAGGCTTCTGTCTAGATTTTATGTGAAGATATGGCCGTTTCGAACGAAGGCCACAAAGTGCTCNCAATATCCACTTGCAGGTCCTCCAAAAAGAGTGTTTCAAACGTGAACTACCAAAGGAAGGCTCAACTCTGGACTTTGAATGCCAACGTCAGAAGGATGTTTCTGCGAAAACTTCTGTTTAGTTAGGTGACGTTATCCCGTCTCCAACGAAATCCTCAGAGAGGTCCAAATATCCACCTGCAGAGTCTACAAACAGTGTGTTTCAAAACTGCTCCACCCAAAGGAATGTTCAGCTCTGTGAGTTGAACTCAATCATCCCAAAGTATTTTCTCAGAATTCTTCTGTCCAGTTTTTACATGAAGCTGTTCCCTTTACTACCGTAGGCCTCAAAGCGTTCCAAACCTCCACTTGCAGATACTACGAAAAGAGCGTTTCAACCTGAACTCACAAGGGAAGGTTCAACTCTGTCAGTTGAATGCCAACATCACCAAGAAGTTCTGAGAATGTTCCTCTTCAGTTATGTGAGGTTTATCCCGTTTCCAACGAAATTCTCAGAGAAGTCCCAAAATCCACTGGCATATTCCACAAAAGGTGTGTTTGGAAATTGCGCCATCAAAAGATATGCTCAGCTCTGTGAGTTAAACTCAATCATCGCAAAGTATTTTCTGAGAATGCTTCAGTCTTGTTTTTAGATGAAGTTCTTTCCTTTACTACGATAGGCCTCAAAGAGGTCCAAATCTCCACTAGCAGATTTTGCAGAAGGAGTGTTTCAAACCTGAACTGTCAGAGAAAGGTTCAACACTGTGAGTTGAATGCAAGCATCACGAAG
>NC_000001.11:121893232-121898418 GCF_000001405.40 Homo sapiens
TAGTTGGCGACGTATCCCGTTTCCACGAAATCCTCAGAGAGGTCCAAATATCCACCTGCAGAGTCTACAAAAAGTGTGTTTCAAAACTGCTCCACCCAAAGGAATGTTCAGCTCTGTGAGTTGAACTCAATCATCCCAAAGTATTTTCTGAGAATGCTTCTGTCCAGTTTTTACATGAAGCTGTTTCCTTTACTACCGTAGGCCTCAAAGCGTTCCAAATTTCCACTTGCAGATGCTACGAAAGGAGCGTTTCAACCTGAACTCACAAGGGAAGGTTCACCTCTGTCAGTTGAATGTCAACATCACAAAGAAGTTCTGAGAATGTTCCTCTTCAGTTATGTGAGGTTTATCCCGTTTCCAACGAAATTCTCAGAGAAGTCCCAATATCCACTTGCATATTCTACAAAACGTGTGTTTTGAAAATGCTCCATCAAAAGACCTGCTCAGCTCTGTGAGTTAAACTCAATCATCGCAAAGAATTTTCTGAGAATGCTTCTGTCTTGTTTTTAAATGAAGTTCTTTCCTTTACTACGACAGGCCTCAAAGAGGTCCAAATCTCCACTTGCAGATTCTGCAGAAGGAGTGTTTCAAACCTGAACCGTCAGAGGAAGGTTCAACACTGTGAGTTGAATGCAAGCATCACGAAGAAGGTTCTGAGAATGCTTCTGTTTACGTAGGTGAGTTCTCTCCCGTATCCAACGAAATCCTCAGAGCGGTCCGAATCTCCACTTGCAGATTCTACACAAAGTGTGTTTGGAAACTGCTCCATCCAAAGGAATGTTCAGCTCCGTGAGTTGAACTCAATCGTCACAAAGTGTTTCCTGGGAATGCTACAGTCTCATTTTTATGTGCAGTTATATCCTCTACTGCCATAGGCCTCAAAGCTGTCCAAATCTCCCCTTTCAGATTCTACCAAAAGTGTGTTTCCAAACGGCTCCATCAAAGGGAATGTTCAGCTCGGTGACTTGAAAGCAATCATCACAAAGCAGCTTCTGAGAATGCTTCCATGTATCTTTGATGAGAAGACATTTCCTTTTCCACCCCAGGCCTCGAAGCCCTCCAAATGTCCCCTTGCAGATGCTAGAAAGAGAGGGTTTCAAAGCTGCTCTATCAAAAGGAAAGTACAACTCTGCGAGTTGAATGCAAACATCACAAAGAAGTTCCTGAGCATGCTTCCGTTTAGCTTTTATGGGAAGATTATCCCTTTTCCATCGGAATGTTCAAAGAGGTCCACGTATCCGCTTGCAGATTCCACCGAAAGAGTGTTTCCAAACTGCTGCATCAAAAGGAATCCTCAGCTCCGTGAGTTGAATGCAATCATCACCAAGAAGTTTCTGACAATGCTTCTCTCTAGTTTTTATGTGAAGATATTTCCTTATCCACCACAGGCCTGAAAGGGCTCCAAATGTCCACTTGGAGGCTCTACGAAAAGAATGTTTCAAAACTGCTCCATGAAAAGCAATGTTATACTCTGGGAGTTGAACACAAGCCTCACAAAGGAGTTTCTGAGAATGCTTCTGTTTACTTTTTACGTGAGGATATTCCCATTTCCAAAGAAGTCTTCACAGAGTTCCACCTATCCATTTGCAGATGCTAGCAAAAGAGAGTTTCAAAACTGCTCTATCAAAAGGAATGTTCAACTCTGTGAGTTGCATGCAATCATCACAGAGAAGTTTCTGAGAAGGCTTCTGTCTAGATTTTATTTGAAGATATAGCCGTTTCGAACGAAGGCCACAAAGTGCTCCAAATATCCACTTGCAGGTCCTCCAAAAAGAGTGTTTCAAACGTGAACTACCAAAGGAAGGCTCAACTCTGGACTTTGAATGCCAACGTCAGAAGGATGTTTCTGCGAAAGCTTCTGTTTAGTTAGGCGACGTTATCCCGTTTCCAACGAAATCCTCAGAGAGGTCCAAATATCCACCTGCAGAGTCTACAAAAAGTGTGTTTCAAAACTGCTCCACCCAAAGGAATGTTCAGCTCTGTGAGTTGAACTCAATCATCCCAAAGTATTTTCTGAGAATGCTTCTGTCCAGTTTTTACATGAAGCTGTTTCCTTTACTACCGTAGGCCTCAAAGCGTTCCAAATCTCCACTTGCATATGCTACGAAAGGAGCGTTTCAACCTGAACTCACAAGGGAAGGTTCACCTCTGTCAGTAGAATGTCAACATCACAAAGAAGTTCTGAGAATGTTCCTCTTCAGTTATGTGAGGTTTATCCCGTTTCCAACGAAATTCTCAGAGAAGTCCCAATATCCACTTGCATATTCTACAAAACGTGTGTTTTGAAAATGCTCCATCAAAAGACCTGCTCAGCTCTGTGAGTTAAACTCAATCATCGCAAAGAATTTTCTGAGAATGCTTCTGTCTTGTTTTTAGATGAAGTTCTTTCCTTTACTACGACAGGCCTCAAAGAGGTCCAAATCTCCACTTGCAGATTCTGCAGAAGGAGTGTTTCAAACCTGAACCGTCAGAGGAAGGTTCAACACTGTGAGTTGAATGCAAGCATCACGAAGAAGGTTCTGAGAATGCTTCTGTTTACGTAGGTGAGTTCTCTCCCGTATCCAACGAAATCCTCAGAGCGGTCCGAATCTCCACTTGCAGATTCTACACAAAGTGTGTTTGGAAACTGCTCCATCCAAAGGAATGTTCAGCTCCGTGAGTTGAACTCAATCGTCACAAAGTGTTTCCTGGGAATGCTACTGTCTCATTTTTATGTGCAGTTATATCCTCTACTGCCATAGGCCTCAAAGCGGTCCAAATCTCCCCTTTCAGATTCTACCAAAAGTGTGTTTCCAAACGGCTCCATCAAAGGCAATGTTCAGCTCGGTGACTTGAAAGCAATCATCACAAAGCAGCTTCTGAGAATGCTTCCATGTATCTTTGATGAGAAGACATTTCCTTTTCCACCCCAGGCCTCGAAGCCCTCCAAATGTCCCCTTGCAGATGCTAGAAAGAGAGGGTTTCAAAGCTGCTCTATCAAAAGGAAAGTACAACTCTGCGAGTTGAATGCAAACATCACAAAGAAGTTCCTGAGCATGCTTCCGTTTAGCTTTTATGGGAAGATTATCCCTTTTCCATCGGAATGTTCAAAGAGGTCCACGTATCCGCTTGCAGATTCCACCGAAAGAGTGTTTCCAAACTGCTGCATCAAAAGGAATCCTCAGCTCCGTGAGTTGAATGCAATCATCACCAAGAAGTTTCTGACAATGCTTCTCTCTAGTTTTTATGTGAAGATATTTCCTTATCCACCACAGGCCTGAAAGGGCTCCAAATGTCCACTTGGAGGCTCTACGAAAAGAATGTTTCAAAACTGCTCCATGAAAAGCAATGTTATACTCTGGGAGTTGAACACAAGCCTCACAAAGGAGTTTCTGAGAATGCTTCTGTTTACTTTTTACGTGAGGATATTCCCGTTTCCAAAGAAGTCCTCACAGAGTTCCACCTATCCATTTGCAGATGCTAGCAAAAGAGAGTTTCAAAACTGCTCTATCAAAAGGAATGTTCAACTCTGTGAGTTGCATGCAATCATCACAGAGAAGTTTCTGAGAAGGCTTCTGTCTAGATTTTATGTGAAGATATAGCCGTTTCGAACGAAGGCCACAAAGTGCTCCAAATATCCACTTGCAGGTCCTCCAAAAAGAGTGTTTCAAACGTGAACTACCAAAGGAAGGCTCAACTCTGGACTTTGAATGCCAACGTCAGAAGGATGTTTCTGCGAAAGCTTCTGTTTAGTTAGGCGACGTTATCCCGTTTCCAACGAAATCCTCAGAGAGGTCCAAATATCCACCTGCAGAGTCTACAAAAAGTGTGTTTCAAAACTGCTCCACCCAAAGGAATGTTCAGCTCTGTGAGTTGAACTCAATCATCCCAAAGTATTTTCTGAGAATGCTTCTGTCCAGTTTTTACATGAAGCTGTTTCCTTTACTACCGTAGGCCTCAAAGCGTTCCAAATCTCCACTGGCAGATGCTACGAAAGGAGCGTTTCAACCTGAACTCACAAGGGAAGGTTCACCTCTGTCAGTTGAATGTCAACATCACAAAGAAGTTCTGAGAATGTTCCTCTTCAGTTATGTGAGGTTTATCCCGTTTCCAACGAAATTCTCAGAGAAGTCCCAATATCCACTTGCATATTCTACAAAACGTGTGTTTTGAAAATGCTCCATCAAAAGACCTGCTCAGCTCTGTGAGTTAAACTCAATCATCGCAAAGAATTTTCTGAGAATGCTTCTGTCTTGTTTTTAGATGAAGTTCTTTCCTTTACTACGACAGGCCTCAAAGAGGTCCAAATCTCCACTTGCAGATTCTGCAGAAGGAGTGTTTCAAACCTGAACCGTCAGAGAAAGGTTCAACACTGTGAGTTGAATGCAAGCATCACGAAGAAGGTTCTGAGAATGCTTCTGTTTACGTAGGTGAGTTCTCTCCCGTATCCAACGAAATCCTCAGAGCGGTCCGAATCTCCACTTGCAGATTCTACACAAAGTGTGTTTGGAAACTGCTCCATCCAAAGGAATGTTCAGCTCCGTGAGTTGAACTCAATCGTCACAAAGTGTTTCCTGGGAATGCTACTGTCTCGTTTTTATGTGCAGTTATAAACTCTAGTGCCATAGGCCTCAAAGCGGTCCAAATATCCCCTTTCAGATTCTACCAAAAGTGTGTTTCCAAAAGGCTCCATCAAAGGGAATGTTCAGCTCGGTGACTTGAAAGCAATCATCACAAAGCAGCTTCTGAGAATGCTTCCATGTAGCTTTGATGAGAAGATATTTCCTTTTCCACCCCAGGACTCGAAGCCCTCCAAATGTCCCCTTGCAGATGCTAGAAAGAGAGGGTTTCAAAGCTGCTCTATCAAAAGGAAAGTACAACTCTGCGAGTTGAATGCAAACATCACAAAGAAGTTCCTGAGCATGCTTCCGTTTAGCTTTTACGGGAAGATTATCCCTTTTCCATCGCAATGTTCCAAGAGGTCCACATATCCGCTTGCAGATTCCCCCGAAAGAGTGTTTCAACCTGCTGCATCAAAAGGATCCCTCAGCTCGTGAGTTGATGCATCATCACCAAGAAGTTCTGACATGCTCTCTCTAGTTTTATGTGAGATATTTCCTTATCACACAGGCTGAAAGGCTCCAATGTCCACTGGAGCTCTACGAAAGATGTTTCAACTGCTCATGAAAGCATGTATATCTGGGAGT
>NC_000001.11:121898518-121902342 GCF_000001405.40 Homo sapiens
CTCAGAGGGTCCGATCTCAATGCAGATTTACACAAGTGTTTTGAAACTGCTCATCCAAAGGATGTTCAGTCCGTGAGTGAACTCAATCGTCACAAAGTGTTTCCTGGGAATGCTACTGTCTCGTTTTTATGTGCAGTTATATCCTCTACTGCCATAGGCCTCAAAGCTGTCCAAATATCCCCTTTAGGATTCTACCAAAATTGTGTTTCCCAACGGCTCCATCAAAGGGAATGTTCAGCTCGGTGACTTGAAAGCAATCATCACAAAGCAGCTTCTGAGAATGCTTCCATGTAGCTTTGATGAGAAGATATTTCCTTTTCCACCCCAGGCCTCGAAGCCCTCCAAATGTCCCCTTGCAGATGCTAGAAAGAGAGGGTTTCAAAGCTGCTATATCAAAAGGAAAGTACAACTCTGCGAGTTGAATGCAAACATCACAAAGAAGTTCCTGAGCATGCTTCTGTTTAGCTTTTACGGGAAGATTATCCCTTTTCCATCAGAATGTTCAAAGAGGTCCACATATCCGCTTGCAGATTCCACCGAAAGAGTGTTTCCAAACTGCTGCATCAAAAGGAATCCTCAGCTCCGTGAGTTGAATGCAATCATCACCAAGAGGATTCTGAGAATGCTTCTCTCTAGTTTTTATGTGAAGATATTTCCTTAACCACCACAGGCCTGAAAGGGCTCCAAATGTCCACTTGGAGGCTCTATGAAAAGAATGTTTCAAAACTGCTCCATGAAAAGCAATGTTATACTCTGGGAGTTGAACACAAGCCTCACAAAGGAGTTTCTGAGATTGCTTCTGTTTACTTTTTACGTGAGGATATTCCCGTTTCCAAAGAAGTCTTCACAGAGTTCCACCTATCCATTTGCAGATGCTAGCAAAAGAGAGTTTCAAAACTGCTCTATCAAAAGGAATGTTCAACTCTGTGAGTTGCATGCAATCATCACAGAGAAGTTTCTGAGAAGGCTTCTGTCTAGATTTTATGTGAAGATATAGCTGTTTCGAACGAAGACCACAATGTGCTCCAATATCCACTTGCAGGACTTCCAAAAAGAGTGTTTCAAACGTGAACTACCAAAGGAAGGCTCAACTGTGGACTTTGAATGCCAACGTCAGAAAGATGTTTCTGCGAAAACTTCTGTTTAGTTAGGCGACGTTATCTCGTTTCCAACGAAATCCTAGGAGAGGTCCAAATATCCACCAGCAGAGTCTGCAAAAAGTGTGTTTCAAAACTGCTCCACCCAAAGGAATGTTCAGCTCTGTGAGTTGAACTCAATCATCCCAAAGTATTTCCTGAGAATGCTTCTGTCCAGTTTTTACATGAGGCTGTTCCTTTACTACCGTAGGCCTCAAAGCGTCCAAATCTCCACTTGCAGATGTACGAAGGAGCGTTCACCTGAACTCACAGGGGAAGGTTCACCTCTGTCAGTGAATGTCAACATCACAAAGAAGTTCTGAGAATGTTCCTCTTCAGTTATGTGAGGTTTATCCCGTTTCCACGAAATTCTCAGAGAAGTCNCAATATCCACTTGCATATTCTACAAAACGTGTGTTTTGAAAATGCTCCATCAAAAGACCTGCTCAGCTCTGTGAGTTAAACTCAATCATCGCAAAGAATTTTCTGAGAATGCTTCTGTCTTGTTTTTAGATGAAGTTCTTTCCTTTACTACGACAGGCGTCAAAGAGGTCCAAATCTCCACTTGCAGATTCTGCAGAAGGAGTGTTTCAAACCTGAACCGTCAGAGGAAGGTTCAACACTGTGAGTTGAATGCAAGCATCACGAAGAAGGTTCTGAGAATGCTTCTGTTTACGTAGGTGAGTTCTCTCCCGTATCCAACGAAATCCTCAGAGCGGTCCGAATCTCCACTTGCAGATTCTACACAAAGTGTGTTTGGAAACTGCTCCATCCAAAGGAATGTTCAGCTCCGTGAGTTGAACTCAATCGTCACAAAGTGTTTCCTGGGAATGCTACTGTCTCATTTTTATGTGCAGTTATATCCTCTACTGCCATAGGCCTCAAAGCGGTCCAAATCTCCCCTTTCAGATTCTACCAAAAGTGTGTTTCCAAAAGGCTCCATCAAAGGGAATGTTCAGCTCGGTGACTTGAAAGCAATCATCACAAAGCAGCTTCTGAGAATGCTTCCATGTATCTTTGATGAGAAGACATTTCCTTTTCCACCCCAGGCCTCGAAGCCCTCCAAATGTCCCCTTGCAGATGCTAGAAAGAGAGGGTTTCAAAGCTGCTCTATCAAAAGGAAAGTACAACTCTGCGAGTTGAATGCAAACATCACAAAGAAGTTCCTGAGCATGCTTCAGTTTAGCTTTTATGGGAAGATTATCCCTTTTCCATCGCAATGTTCAAAGAGGTCCACATATCCGCTTGCAGATTCCACCGAAAGAGTGTTTCCAAACTGCTGCATCAAAAGGAATCCTCAGCTCCGTGAGTTGAATGCAATCATCACCAAGAAGTTTCTGACAATGCTTCTCTCTAGTTTTTATGTGAAGATATTTCCTTATCCACCACAGGCCTGAAAGGGCTCCAAATGTCCACATGGAGGCTCTACGAAAAGAATGTTTCAAAACTGCTCCATGAAAAGCAATGTTATACTCTGGGAGTTGAACACAAGCCTCACAAAGGAGTTTCTGAGAATGCTTCTGTTTACTTTTTACGTGAGGATATTCCCGTTTCCAAAGAAGTCTCCACAGAGTTCCACCTATCCATTTGCAGATGCTAGCAAAAGAGAGTTTCAAAACTGCTCTATCAAAAGGAATGTTCAACTCTGTGAGTTGCATGCAATCATCACAGAGAAGTTTCTGAGAAGGCTTCTGTCTAGATTTTATGTGAAGATATAGCCGTTTCGAACGAAGGCCACAAAGTGCTCCAAATATCCACTTGCAGGTCCTCCAAAAAGAGTGTTTCAAACTTGAACTACCAAAGGAAGGCTCAACTCTGGACTTTGAATGCCAACGTCAGAAGGATGTTTCTGCGAAAGCTTCTGTTTAGTTAGGCGACGTTATCCCGTTTCCAACGAAATCCTCAGAGAGGTCCAAATATCCACCTGCAGAGTCTACAAAAAGTGTGTTTCAAAACTGCTCCACCCAAAGGAATGTTCAGCTCTGTGAGTTGAACTCAATCATCCCAAAGTATTTCCTGAGAATGCTTCTGTCCAGTTTTTACATGAGGCTGTTTCCTTTACTACCGTAGGCCTCAAAGCGTTCCAAATCTCCACTTGCAGATGCTACGAAAAGAGCGTTTCAACCTGAACTCACAAGGGAAGGTTCACCTCTGTCAGTTGAATGTCAACATCACAAAGAAGTTCTGAGAATGTTCCTCTTCAGTTATGTGAGGTTTATCCCGTTTCCAACGAAATTCTCAGAGAAGTCCCAATATCCACTTGCATATTATACAAAACGTGTGTTTTGAAAATGCTCCATCAAAAGACCTGCTCAGCTCTGTGAGTTAAACTCAATCATCGCAAAGAATTTTCTGAGAATGCTTCTGTCTTGTTTTTAGATGAAGTTCTTTCCTTTACTACGACAGGCTTCAAAGAGGTCCAAATCTCCACTTGCAGATTCTGCAGAAGGAGTGTTTCAAACCTGAACTGTCAGAGAAAGGTTCAACACTGTGAGTTGAATGCAAGCATCACGAAGAAGGTTCTGAGAATGCTTCCGTTTACGTAGGTGAGTTCTCTCCCGTATCCAATGAAATCCTCAGAGCGGTCCGAATCTCCACTTGCAGATTCTACACAAAGTGTGTTTGGAAACTGCTCCATCCAAAGGAATGTTCAGCTCCGTGAGGTGAACTCAATCGTCACAAAGTTCT
>NC_000001.11:121902442-121911119 GCF_000001405.40 Homo sapiens
AAGAAGTCTGAGAATGTTCCTCTTCAGTTATGTGAGGTTTATCCCGTTTCCAACGAAATTCTCAGAGAAGTCCCAATATCCACTTGCATATTCTACAAAACGTGTGTTTTGAAAATGCTCCATCAAAAGACCTGCTCAGCTCTGTGAGTTAAACTCAATCATCGCAAAGAATTTTCTGAGAATGCTTCTGTCTTGTTTTTAAATGAAGTTCTTTCCTTTACTACGACAGGCCTCAAAGAGGTCCAAATCTCCACTTGCAGATTCTGCAGAAGGAGTGTTTCAAACCTGAACCGTCAGAGGAAGGTTCAACACTGTGAGTTGAATGCAAGCATCACGAAGAAGGTTCTGAGAATGCTTCTGTTTACGTAGGTGAGTTCTCTCCCGTATCCAACGAAATCCTCAGAGCGGTCCGAATCTCCACTTGCAGATTCTACACAAAGTGTGTTTGGAAACTGCTCCATCCAAAGGAATGTTCAGCTCCGTGAGTTGAACTCAATCGTCACAAAGTGTTTCCTGGGAATGCTACAGTCTCATTTTTATGTGCAGTTATATCCTCTACTGCCATAGGCCTCAAAGCTGTCCAAATCTCCCCTTTCAGATTCTACCAAAAGTGTGTTTCCAAACGGCTCCATCAAAGGGAATGTTCAGCTCGGTGACTTGAAAGCAATCATCACAAAGCAGCTTCTGAGAATGCTTCCATGTATCTTTGATGAGAAGACATTTCCTTTTCCACCCCAGGCCTCGAAGCCCTCCAAATGTCCCCTTGCAGATGCTAGAAAGAGAGGGTTTCAAAGCTGCTCTATCAAAAGGAAAGTACAACTCTGCGAGTTGAATGCAAACATCACAAAGAAGTTCCTGAGCATGCTTCCGTTTAGCTTTTATGGGAAGATTATCCCTTTTCCATCGGAATGTTCAAAGAGGTCCACGTATCCGCTTGCAGATTCCACCGAAAGAGTGTTTCCAAACTGCTGCATCAAAAGGAATCCTCAGCTCCGTGAGTTGAATGCAATCATCACCAAGAAGTTTCTGACAATGCTTCTCTCTAGTTTTTATGTGAAGATATTTCCTTATCCACCACAGGCCTGAAAGGGCTCCAAATGTCCACTTGGAGGCTCTACGAAAAGAATGTTTCAAAACTGCTCCATGAAAAGCAATGTTATACTCTGGGAGTTGAACACAAGCCTCACAAAGGAGTTTCTGAGAATGCTTCTGTTTACTTTTTACGTGAGGATATTCCCGTTTCCAAAGAAGTCTCCACAGAGTTCCACCTATCCATTTGCAGATGCTAGCAAAAGAGAGTTTCAAAACTGCTCTATCAAAAGGAATGTTCAACTCTGTGAGTTGCATGCAATCATCACAGAGAAGTTTCTGAGAAGGCTTCTGTCTAGATTTTATGTGAAGATATAGCCGTTTCGAACGAAGGCCACAAAGTGCTCCAAATATCCACTTGCAGGTCCTCCAAAAAGAGTGTTTCAAACGTGAACTACCAAAGGAAGGCTCAACTCTGGACTTTGAATGCCAACGTCAGAAGGATGTTTCTGCGAAAGCTTCTGTTTAGTTAGGCGACGTTATCCCGTTTCCAACGAAATCCTCAGAGAGGTCCAAATATCCACCTGCAGAGTCTACAAAAAGTGTGTTTCAAAACTGCTCCACCCAAAGGAATGTTCAGCTCTGTGAGTTGAACTCAATCATCCCAAAGTATTTTCTGAGAATGCTTCTGTCCAGTTTTTACATGAAGCTGTTTCCTTTACTACCGTAGGCCTCAAAGCGTTCCAAATCTCCACTTGCAGATGCTACGAAAGGAGCGTTTCAACCTGAACTCACAAGGGAAGGTTCACCTCTGTCAGTTGAATGTCAACATCACAAAGAAGTTCTGAGAATGTTCCTCTTCAGTTATGTGAGGTTTATCCCGTTTCCAACGAAATTCTCAGAGAAGTCCCAATATCCACTTGCATATTCTACAAAACGTGTGTTTTGAAAATGCTCCATCAAAAGACCTGCTCAGCTCTGTGAGTTAAACTCAATCATCGCAAAGAATTTTCTGAGAATGCTTCTGTCTTGTTTTTAGATGAAGTTCTTTCCTTTACTACGACAGGCCTCAAAGAGGTCCAAATCTCCACTTGCAGATTCTGCAGAAGGAGTGTTTCAAACCTGAACCGTCAGAGGAAGGTTCAACACTGTGAGTTGAATGCAAGCATCACGAAGAAGGTTCTGAGAATGCTTCTGTTTACGTAGGTGAGTTCTCTCCCGTATCCAACGAAATCCTCAGAGCGGTCCGAATCTCCACTTGCAGATTCTACACAAAGTGTGTTTGGAAACTGCTCCATCCAAAGGAATGTTCAGCTCCGTGAGTTGAACTCAATCGTCACAAAGTGTTTCCTGGGAATGCTACTGTCTCGTTTTTATGTGCAGTTTTATCCTCTACTGCCATAGGCCTCAAAGCGGTCCAAATCTCCCCTTTCAGATTCTACCAAAAGTGTGTTTCCAAACGGCTCCATCAAAGGGAATGTTCAGCTCGGTGACTTGAAAGCAATCATCACAAAGCAGCTTCTGAGAATGCTTCCATGTATCTTTGATGAGAAGACATTTCCTTTTCCACCCCAGGCCTCGAAGCCCTCCAAATGTCCCCTTGCAGATGCTAGAAAGAGAGGGTTTCAAAGCTGCTCTATCAAAAGGAAAGTACAACTCTGCGAGTTGAATGCAAACATCACAAAGAAGTTCCTGAGCATGCTTCCGTTTAGCTTTTATGGGAAGATTATCCCTTTTCCATCGGAATGTTCAAAGAGGTCCACGTATCCGCTTGCAGATTCCACCGAAAGAGTGTTTCCAAACTGCTGCATCAAAAGGAATCCTCAGCTCCGTGAGTTGAATGCAATCATCACCAAGAAGTTTCTGACAATGCTTCTCTCTAGTTTTTATGTGAAGATATTTCCTTATCCACCACAGGCCTGAAAGGGCTCCAAATGTCCACTTGGAGGCTCTACGAAAAGAATGTTTCAAAACTGCTCCATGAAAAGCAATGTTATACTCTGGGAGTTGAACACAAGCCTCACAAAGGAGTTTCTGAGAATGCTTCTGTTTACTTTTTACGTGAGGATATTCCCGTTTCCAAAGAAGTCCTCACAGAGTTCCACCTATCCATTTGCAGATGCTAGCAAAACAGAGTTTCAAAACTGCTCTATCAAAAGGAATGTTCAACTCTGTGAGTTGCATGCAATCATCACAGAGAAGTTTCTGAGAAGGCTTCTGTCTAGATTTTATGTGAAGATATAGCCGTTTCGAACGAAGGCCACAAAGTGCTCCAAATATCCACTTGCAGGTCCTCCAAAAAGAGTGTTTCAAACGTGAACTACCAAAGGAAGGCTTAGCTCTGGACTTTGAATGCCAACCTCAGAAGGATATTTCTGCGAAAGCTTCTGTTTAGTTAGGCGACCTTAACCCGTTTCCAACGAAATCTTCAGAGAGGTCCAAATATCCACCTGCAGAGTCTACAAAAAGTGTGTTTCAAAACTGCTCCACCCAAAGGAATGTTCAGCTCTGTGAGTTGAACTCAATCATCCCAAAGTATTTTCTGAGAATGCTTCTGTCCAGTTTTTACATGAAGCTGTTTCCTTTACTACCGTAGGCCTCATAGCGTTCCAAATCTCCACTTGCAGATGCTACGAAAGGAGCGTTTCAACCTGAACTCACAAGGGAAGGTTCACCTCTGTCAGTTGAATGTCAACATCAGAAAGAAGTTCTGAGAATGTTCCTCTTCAGTTACGTGAGGTTCTTCCCGTTTCCAACGAAATTCTCAGAGAAGTCCCAATATCCACTTGCATATCCTACAAAACGTGTGTTTTGAAAATGCTCCATCAAAAGACCTGCTCTGCTCTGTGAGTTAAACTCAATCATCGCAAAGAATTTTCTGAGAATGCTTCTGTCTTGTTTTTAGATGAAGTTCTTTCCTTTACTACGACAGGCCTCAAAGAGGTCCAAATCTCCACTTGCAGATTCTGCAGAAGGAGTGTTTCAAACCTGAACTGTCAGAGAAAGGTTCAACACTGTGAGTTGAATGCAAGCATCACGAAGAAGGTTCTGAGAATGCTTCTGTTTACGTAGGTGAGTTCTCTCCCGTATCCAACGAAATCCTCAGAGCGGTCCGAATCTCCACTTGCAGATTCTACACAAAGTGTGTTTGGAAACTGCTCCATCCAAAGGAATGTTCAGCTCCGTGAGTTGAACTCAATCGTCACAAAGTGTTTCCTGGGAATGCTACTGTCTCGTTTTTATGTGCAGTTATAAACTCTAGTGCCATAGGCCTCAAAGCGGTCCAAATATCCCCTTTCAGATTCTACCAAAAGTGTGTTTCCAAAAGGCTCCATCAAAGGGAATGTTCAGCTCGGTGACTTGAAAGCAATCATCACAAAGCAGCTTCTGAGAATGCTTCCATGTAGCTTTGATGAGAAGATATTTCCTTTTCCACCCCAGGACTCGAAGCCCTCCAAATGTCCCCTTGCAGATGCTAGAAAGAGAGGGTTTCAAAGCTGCTCTATCAAAAGGAAAGTACAACTCTGCGAGTTGAATGCAAACATCACAAAGAAGTTCCTGAGCATGCTTCCGTTTAGCTTTTACGGGAAGATTATCCCTTTTCCATCGCAATGTTCAAAGAGGTCCACATATCCGCTTGCAGATTCCACCGAAAGAGTGTTTCCAACCTGCTGCATCAAAAGGAATCCTCAGCTCCGTGAGTTGAATGCAATCATCACCAAGAAGTTTCTGACAATGCTTCTCTCTAGTTTTTATGTGAAGATATTTCCTTATCCACCACAGGCCTGAAAGGGCTCCAAATGTCCACTTGGAGGCTCTACGAAAAGAATGTTTCAAAACTGCTCCATGAAAAGCTATGTTATACTCTGGGAGTTGAACACAAGCCTCACAAAGGAGTTTCAGAGAATGCTTCTGTTTACTTTTTACGTGAGGATATTCCCGTTTCCAAAGAAGTCTTCACAGAGTTCCACCTATCCATTTGCAGATGCTAGCAAAAGAGAGTTTCAAAACTGCTCTATCAAAAGGAATGTTCAACTCTGTGAATTGCATGCAATCATCACAGAGAAGTTTCTGAGAAGGCTTCTGTCTAGATTTTATGTGAAGATATAGCCGTTTCGAATGAAGGCCACAAAGTGCTCCAAATATCCACTTGCAGGACTTCCAAAAAGAGTGTTTCAACGTGAACTACCAAAGGAAGGCTCAACTCTGGACTTTGAATGCCAACGTCAGAAAGATGTTTCTGCGAAAACTTCTGTTTAGTTAGGCGACGTTATCTCGTTTCCAACGAAATCCTAGGAGAGGTCCNAATATCCACCAGCAGAGTCTGCAAAAGTGTGTTTCAAAACTGCTCCACCCAAAGTAATGTTCAGCTCTGTGAGTTGAACTCAATCATCCCAAAGTATTTCCTGAGAATGCTTCTGTCCAGTTTTTACATGAGGCTGTTTCCTTTACTACCGTAGGCCTCAAAGCGTTCCAAATCTCCACTTGCAGATGCTACGAAAAGAGCGTTTCAACCTGAACTCACAAGGGAAGGTTCACCTCTGTCAGTTGAATGTCAACATCACAAAGAAGTTCTGAGAATGTTCCTCTTCAGTTATGTGAGGTTTATCCCGTTTCCAACGAAATTCTCAGAGAAGTCCCAATATCCACTTGCATATTATACAAAACGTGTGTTTTGAAAATGCTCCATCAAAAGACCTGCTCAGCTCTGTGAGTTAAACTCAATCATCGCAAAGAATTTTCTGAGAATGCTTCTGTCTTGTTTTTAGATGAAGTTCTTTCCTTTACTACGACAGGCTTCAAAGAGGTCCAAATCTCCACTTGCAGATTCTGCAGAAGGAGTGTTTCAAACCTGAACTGTCAGAGAAAGGTTCAACACTGTGAGTTGAATGCAAGCATCACGAAGAAGGTTCTGAGAATGCTTCCGTTTACGTAGGTGAGTTCTCTCCCGTATCCAATGAAATCCTCAGAGCGGTCCGAATCTCCACTTGCAGATTCTACACAAAGTGTGTTTGGAAACTGCTCCATCCAAAGGAATGTTCAGCTCCGTGAGGTGAACTCAATCGTCACAAAGTGTTTCCTGGGAATGCTACTGTCTCGTTTTTATGTGCAGTTATATCCTCTACTGCCATAGGCCTCAAAGCGGTCCAAATCTCCCCTTTCAGATTCTACCAAAAGTGTGTTTCCCAACGGCTCCATCAAAGGGAATGTTCAGCTCGGTGACTTGAAAGCAATCATCACAAAGCAGCTTCTGAGAATGCTTCCATGTAGCTTTGATGAGAAGATATTTCCTTTTCCACCCCAGGCCTCGAAGCCCTCCAAATGTCCCCTTGCAGATGCTAGAAAGAGAGGGTTTCAAAGCTGCTCTATCAAAAGGAAAGTACAACTCTGCGAGTTGAATGCAAACATCACAAAGAAGTTCCTGAGCATGCTTCAGTTTAGCTTTTATGGGAAGATTATCCCTTTTCCATCGCAATGTTCAAAGAGGTCCACATATCCGCTTGCAGATTCCACCGAAAGAGTGTTTCCAAACTGCTGCATCAAAAGGAATCCTCAGCTCCGTGAGTTGAATGCAATCATCACCAAGAAGTTTCTGACAATGCTTCTCTCTAGTTTTTATGTGAAGATATTTCCTTATCCACCACAGGCCTGAAAGGGCTCCAAATGTCCACATGGAGGCTCTACGAAAAGAATGTTTCAAAACTGCTCCATGAAAAGCAATGTTATACTCTGGGAGTTGAACACAAGCCTCACAAAGGAGTTTCTGAGAATGCTTCTGTTTACTTTTTACGTGAGGATATTCCCGTTTCCAAAGAAGTCTTCACAGAGTTCCACCTATCCATTTGCAGATGCTAGCAAAAGAGAGTTTCAAAACTGCTCTATCAAAAGGAATGTTCCACTCTGTGAGTTGCATGCAATCATCACAGAGAAGTTTCTGAGAAGGCTTCTGTCTAGATTTTATGTGAAGATATAGCCGTTTCGAACGAAGGCCACAAAGTGCTCCAAATATCCACTTGCAGGTCCTCCAAAAAGAGTGTTTCAAACGTGAACTACCAAAGGAAGGCTCAACTGTGGACTTTGAATGCCAACGTCAGAGAGATGTTCCTGCGAAAGCTTCTGTTTAGTTAGGCGACGTTATCCCGTTTCCAACGAAATCCTCAGAGAGGTCCAAATATCCACCAGCCGAGTCTACAAAAAGTGTGTTTCAAAACTGCTCCACCCAAAGGAATGTTCAGCTCTGTGAGTTGAACTCAATCATCCCAAAGTATTTTCTGAGAATGCTTCTGTCCAGTTTTTACATGAAGCTGTTTCCTTTACTACCGTAGGCCTCAAAGCGTTCCAAATCTCCACTTGCAGATGCTACGAAAAGAGTGTTTCAACCTGAACTCACAAGGGAAGGTTCACCTCTGTCAGTTGAATGTCAACATCACAAAGAAGTTCTGAGAATGTTCCTCTTCAGTTATGTGAGGTTTATCCCGTTTCCAACGAAATTCTCAGAGAAGTCCCAATATCCACTTGCATATTCTACAAAACGTGTGTTTTGAAAATGCTCCATCAAAAGACCTGCTCAGCTCTGTGAGTTAAACTCAATCATCGCAAAGAATTTTCTGAGAATGCTTCTGTCTTGTTTTTAGATGAAGTTCTTTCCTTTACTACGACAGGCCTCAAAGAGGTCCAAATCTCCACTTGCATTTTCTGCAGAAGGAGTGTTTCAAACCTGAACTGTCAGAGAAAGGTTCAACACTGTGAGTTGAATGCAAGCATCACGAAGAAGGTTCTGAGAATGCTTCCGTTTACGTAGGTGAGTTCTCTCCCGTATCCAACGAAATCCTCAGAGCGGTCCGAATCTCCACTTGCAGATTCTACACAAAGTGTGTTTGGAAACTGCTCCATCCAAAGGAATGTTCAGCTCCGTGAGTTGAACTCAATCGTCACAAAGTGTTTCCTGGGAATGCTACTGTCTCGTTTTTATGTGCAGTTATATCCTCTACTGCCACAGGCCTCAAAGCGGTCCAAATATCCCCTTTCAGATTCTACCAAAAGTGTGTTTCCAAAAGGCTCCATCAAAGGGAATGTTCAGCTCGGTGACTTGAAAGCAATCATCACAAAGCAGCTTCTGAGAATGCTTCCATGTAGCTTTGATGAGAAGATATTTCCTTTTCCACCCCAGGACTCGAAGCCCTCCAAATGTCCCCTTGCAGATGCTAGAAAGAGAGGGTTTCAAAGCTGCTCTATCAAAAGGAAAGTACAACTCTGCGAGTTGAATGCAAACATCACAAAGAAGTTCCTGAGCATGCTTCCGTTTAGCTTTTACGGGAAGATATCCCTTTTCCATCGNCATGTTCAAAGAGGTCCACATATCCGCTTGCAGATTCACCGAAAGAGTGTTTCCAACCTGCTGCATCAAAAGGATCCTCAGCTCCGTGAGTTGAATGCAATCATCACNCAGAAGTTTTCTGACATGCTTCTCTCTAGTTTTTATGTGAAGATATTTCTTATCCCACACAGGCTGAAAGGGCTCCAATGTCCACTGGGAGGGTCTACGAAAAGAATGTTTCAAAACTGCTCCATGAAAAGCTATTGTAAACTCTTGGAAGTGGACCCAAGCTCCCCAAGGAGTTCCGAAATGCTTCTGTTACTTTTAACT
>NC_000001.11:121911219-121914062 GCF_000001405.40 Homo sapiens
AATGTGAGACGCTCATAAGGATGTTCACTCTGTGAGTTGCATGCAATCATCACAGAGAAGTTTCTGAGAAGGCTTCTGTCTAGATTTTATGTGAAGATATAGCTGTTTCGAACGAAGACCACAATGTGCTCCAATATCCACTTGCAGGTCCTCCAAAAAGAGTGTTTCAAACGTGAACTACCAAAGGAAGGCTCAACTGTGGACTTTGAATGCCAACGTCAGAAAGATGTTTCTGCGAAAGCTTCTGTTTAGTTAGGTGACGTTATCCCGTTTCCAACGAAATCCTCAGAGAGGTCCAAATATCCACCAGCAGAGTCTACAAAAAGTGTGTTTCAAAACTGCTCCACCCAAAGGAATGTTCAGCTCTGTGAGTTGCATGCAATCATCACAGAGAAGTTTCTGAGAAGGCTTCTGTCTAGATTTTATGTGAAGATATAGCCTTTTCGAACGAAGGCCACAAAGTGCTCCAAATATCCACTTGCAGGTCCTCCAAAAAGAGTGTTTCAAACGTGAACTACCAAAGGAAGGCTCAACTCTGGAGTTTGAATGCCAACGTCGGAAAGATGTTTCTGCGAAAGCTTCTGTTTAGTTAGGCGACGTTATCCCGTTTCCAACGAAATCCTCAGAGAGGTCCAAATATCCACCTGCAGAGTCTACAAAAAGTGTGTTTCAAAACTGCTCCACCCAAAGGAATGTTCAGCTCTGTGAGTTGAACTCAATCATCCCAAAGTAGTTTCTGAGAATGCTTCTGTCCAGTTTTTACATGAAGCTGTTTCCTTTACTACCGTAGGCCTCAAAGCGTTCCAAATCTCCACTTGCAGATGCTACGAAAAGAGCGTTTCAACCTGAACTCACAAGGGAAGGTTCACCTCTGTCAGTTGAATGTCAACATCACAAAGAAGTTCTGAGAATGTTCCTCTTCAGTTATGTGAGGTTTATCCCGTTTCCAACGAAATTCTCGGAGAAGTCCCAATATCCACTTGCATATACTACAAAACGTGTGTTTTGAAAATGCTCCATCAAAAGGCCTGCTCAGCTCTGTGAGTTAAACTCAATCATCGCAAAGAATTTTCTGAGAATGCTTCTGTCTTGTTTTTAGATGAAGTTCTTTCCTTTACTACGACAGGCCTCAAAGAGGTCCAAATCTCCACTTGCAGATTCTGCAGAAGGAGTGTTTCAAACCTGAACTGTCAGAGAAAGGTTCAACACTGTGAGTTGAAGGCAAGCATCACGAAGAAGGTTCTGAGAATGCTTCCGTTTACATAGGTGAGTTCTCTCCCATATCCAACGAAATCCTCAGTGCGGTCCGAATCTCCACTTGCAGATTCTACACAAAGTGTGTTTGGAAACTGCTCCATCCAAAGCAATGTTCAGCTCCGTGAGTTGAACTCTATCGTCACAAAGTGTTTCCTGGGAATGCTACTGTCTCGTTTTTATGTGCAGTTTTATCCTCTACTGCCATAGGCCTCAAAGCGGTCCAAATCTCCCCTTTCAGATTCTACCGAAAGTGTGTTTCCAAACGGCTCCATCAAAGGGAATGTTCAGCTCGGTGACTTGAAAGCAATCATCACAAAGCAGCTTCTGAGAATGCTTCCATGTAGCTTTCATGAGAAGATATTTCCTTTTCCACCCCAGGCCTCGAAGCCCTCCAAATGTCCCCTTGCAGATGCTAGAAAGAGAGGGTTTCAAAGCTGCTCTATCAAAAGGAAAGTACAACTCTGCGAGTTGAATGCAAACATCACAAAGAAGTTCCTGAGCATGCTTCCGTTTAGCTTTTACGGGAAGATTATCCCTTTTCCATCGGAATGTTCAAAGAGGTCTACATATCCGCTTGCAGATTCCACCGAAAGAGTGTTTCCAAACTGCTGCATCAAAAGGAATCCTCAGCTCCGTGAGTTGAATGCAATCATCACCAAGAAGTTTCTGAGAATGCTTCTCTCTAGTTTTTATGTGAAGATATTTCCTTATCCACCACAGGCCTGAAAGCGCTCCAAATGTCCACTTGGAGGCTCTACGAAAAGAATGTTTCAAAACTGCTCCATGAAAAGCAATGTTATACTCTGGGAGTTGAACACAAGCCTCACAAAGGAGTTTCTGAGAATGCTTCTGTTTACTTTTTACGTGAGGATATTCCCGTTTCCAAAGAAGTCTTCACAGAGTTCCACCTATCCATTTGCAGATGCTAGCAAAAGAGAGTTCAAAACTGCTCTATCAAAAGGAATGTTCAACTCTGTGAGTTGCATGCAATCATCACAGAGAAGTTTCTGAGAAGGCTTCTGTCTAGATTTTATGTGAAGATATAGCCGTTTCGAACGAAGGCCACAAAGTGCTCCAATATCCACTTGCAGGTCCTCCAAAAAGAGTGTTTCAAACGTGAACTACCAAAGGAAGGCTCAACTGTGGACTTTGAATGCCAACGTCAGAAAGATGTTTCCGCGAAAGCCTCTGTTTAGTTAGGCGACGTTATCCCATTTCCAACGAAATCCTCAGAGAGGTCCAAATATCCACCTGCAGAGTCTACAAAAAGTGTGTTTCAAAACTGCTCCACCCAAAGGAATGTTCAGCTCTGTGAGTTGAACTCAATCATCCCAAAGTATTTCCTGAGAATGCTTCTGTCCAGTTTTTACGTGAAGCTGTTTCCTTTACTACCGTAGGCCTCAAAGCGTTCCAAATCTCCACTTGCAGATGCTACGAAAAGAGCGTTTCAACCTGAACTCACAAGGGAAGGTTCACCTCTGTCAGTTGAATGTCAACATCACAAAGAAGTTCTGAGAATGTTCCTCTTCAGTAATGTGAGGTTTATCCCGTTTCCAACGAAATTCTCGGAGAAGTCCCAATATCCA
>NC_000001.11:121914162-121916621 GCF_000001405.40 Homo sapiens
CCTCAAAGGGTCCAAATTCCACTNGAAGATCTACCAAAATGTGTTTGGAAACTGCTCACCCCAAAGAATTTTCGGCTTGGGAGTTGAACTCCATGTCCAAAAAGGGTTCTGGGAATGTCCCGTTTCGCTTTTCTGGGCAGTTAAATCCTTTACTGCCATAGCCTCAAAGCGTCCAAATTTCCCCTTTCAGATTTCCCAAAAAGGTGTTTCCAAACGCCCCCCTCAAAGGGGATGTTCAACCCGGTGACTTGAATGCAATCATCACAAAGCAGCTTCTGAGAATGCTTCCATGTAGCTTTGATGAGAAGATATTTCCTTTTCCACCCCAGGCCTCGAAGCCCTCCAAATGTCCCCTTGCAGATGCTAGAAAGAGGGGGTTTCAAAGCTGCTCTATCAAAAGGAAAGTACAACTCTGTGAGTTGAATGCAAACATCACAAGGAAGTTCCTGAGCATGCTTCCGTTTAGCTTTTACGGGAAGATTATCCCTTTTCCATCGAAATGTTCAAAGAGGTCCACATATCCGCTTGCAGATTCCACCGAAAGAGTGTTTCCAAACTGCTGCATCAAAAGGAATCCTCAGCTCCGTGAGTTGAATGCAATCATCACCAAGAAGTTTCTGACAATGCTTCTCTCTAGTTTCTATGTGAAGATATTTCCTTTTCCACCGCAGGCCTGAAAGCGCTCCAAATGTCCACTTGGAGGCTCTATGAAAAGAATGTTTCAAAACTGCTCTATGAAAAGCAATGTTATACTCGGGGAGTTGAACACAAGCCTCACAAAGGAGTTTCTGAGAATGCTTCTGTTTACTTTTTACGTGAGGATATTCCCGTTTCCAAAGAAGTCTTCACAGAGTTCCACCTATCCATATGCAGATGCTAGCAAAAGAGAGTTTCAAAACTGCTCCATCAAAAGGAATGTTTAACTCTGTGAGTTGCATGCAATCATCACAGAGAAGTTTCTGAGAATGCTTCTGTCTAGATTTTATGTGAAGATATGGCCGTTTCGAACGAAGGCCACAAAGTGCTCCAAATATCCACTTGCAGGTCCTCCAAAAAGAGTGTTTCAAACGTGAACTACCAAAGGAAGGCTCAACTCTGGACTTTGAATGCCAACGTCAGAAGGATGTTTCTGGGAAAGCTTCTGTTTAGTTAGGTGACGTTATCCCGTCTCCAACGAAATCCTCAGAGAGGTCCAAATATCCACCTGCAGAGTCTACAAAAAGTGTGTTTCAAAACTGCTCCACCCAAAGGAATGTTCAGCTCTGTGAGTTGAACTGAATCATCCCAAAGTATTTTCTGACAATGCTTCTGTCCACTTTTTACATGAAGCTGTTTCCTTTACTACCGCAGGCCTGAAAGCGTTCCAAACCTCCACTTGCAGATACTACGAAAAGAGCGTTTCAACCTGAACTCACAAGGGAAGGTTCAACTCTGTCAGTTGAATGCCAACATCACCAAGAACTTCTGAGAATGTTCCTCTTCAGTTACGTGAGGTTTATCCCGTTTCCAAAGAAATTCTCAGAGAAGTCCCAAAATCCACTTGCATATTCCACAAAAGGTGTGTTTGGAAAATGCGCCATCAAAAGATATGCTCAGCTCTGTGAGTTAAACTCAATCATCGCAAAGAATTTTCTGAGAATGCTTCCGTCTTGTTTTTAGATGAAGTTCTTTCCTTTACTATGATAGGCCTCAAGGAGGTCCAAATCTCCACTTGCAGATTCTGCAGAAGGAGTGTTTCAAACCTGAACTGTCAGAGAAAGGTTCAACACTGTGAGTTGAATGCAAGCATCACGAAGAAGGTTCTGAGAATGCTTCTGTTTACGTAGGTGACTTTTCTGCCGTATCCAACGAAATCCTCAGAGCGGTCCAAATCTCCACTTGCAGATTCTGCACAAAGTGTTTTTGGAAACTGCTCCACCCAAAGGAATGTTCAGCTCTGTGAGTTGAACTCAATGGTCACAAAGCGTTTCCTGGGAATGCTCCTGTCTCGCTTTTATGTGCAGTTATAACCTCTACTGCCATAGGCCTCAAAGTGGTCCAAATCTCCCCTTCCAGATTCTACCAAAAGTGTGTTTCCAAACGGCCCCATCAAAGGGGATGTTCAACCCGGTGACTTGAATGCAATCATCACAAAGCAGCTTCTGAGAATGCTTCCATGTAGCTTTGATGAGAAGATATTTCCTTTTCCACCCCAGGCCTCGAAGCCCTCCAAATGTCCCCTTGCAGATGCTAGAAAGAGGGGGTTTCAAAGCTGCTCTATCAAAAGGAAAGTACAACTCTGTGAGTTGAATGCAAACATCACAAGGAAGTTCCTGAGCATGCTTCCGTTTAGCTTTTACGGGAAGATTATCCCTTTTCCATCGAAATGTTCAAAGAGGTCCACATATCCGCTTGCAGATTCCACCGAAAGAGTGTTTCCAAACTGCTGCATCCAAAGGAATCCTCAGCTCCGGAGTGAA
>NC_000001.11:121916721-121923482 GCF_000001405.40 Homo sapiens
TATNNCCTTTCATCGAATGTCAAAGAGTCACATATCGCTGCNAGATCCACGNNAAGAGTGTTTCCAACTGCTGCATNCAAGGAATCTTCAGCTCCGTGAGTGAAATGCAATCATCACCAAGAAGTTTCTGACAATGCTTCTCTCTAGTTTTTATGTGAAGATATNTCCTNNTCCACCGCAGACCTGAAAGCGCTCCAAATGTCCACTTGGAGGCTCTACGAAAAGAATGTTTCAAAACTGCTCTATGAAAAGCAATGTTATACTCTGGGAGTTGAACACAAGCCTCACAAAGGAGTTTCTGAGAATGCTTCTGTTTACTTTTTACGTGAGGATATTCCCGTTTCCAAAGAAGTCTTCACAGAGTTCCACCTATCCATTTGCAGATGCTAGCAAAAGAGAGTTTCAAAACTGCTCCATCAAAAGGAATGTTCAACTCTGTGAGTTGCATGCAATCATCACAGAGAAGTTTCTGAGAAGGCTTCTGTCTAGATTTTATGTAAAGATATAGCCGTTTCGAACGAAGGCCACAAAGTGCTCCAAATATCCACTTGCAGGTCCTCCAAAAAGAGTGTTTCAAACGTGAACTACCAAAGGAAGGCTCAACTCTGGACTTTGAAGGCCAACGTCAGAAGGATGTTTCTGCAAAAGCTTCTGTTTAGTTAGGTGACGTTATCCCGTTTCCAACGAAATCCTCAGAGAGGTCCAAATATCCAACTGCAGAGTCTACAAAAAGNTGTGTTTCAAAACTGCTCCACCCAAAGGAATGTTCAGCTCTGTGAGTTGAACTCAATCATCCCAAAGTATTTTTGAGATGCTCGTCCAGTTTTACATGAGCTGTTCTTACTACGTAGGCTCAAGCGTCCAACCTCCACTGCAGATATACGAAAGAGCGTTCACCTGAACTCACAGGGAAGGTTCACTCTGTCAGTGAATGCCAACATCACCAAGAAGTTCTGAGAATGTTCTCTTCAGTTACGTGAGGTTTATCCCGTTTCCAACGAAATTCTCAGAGAAGTCCCAAAATCCACTTGCATATTCCACAAAAGGTGTGTTTGGAAAATGCGCCATCAAAAGATATGCTCAGCTCTGTGAGTTAAACTCAATCATTGCAAAGAATTTTCTGAGAATGCTTCCGTCTTGTTTTTAGATGAAGTTCTTTCCTTTACTACGATAGGCCTCAAGGAGGTCCAAATCTCCACTTGCAGATTCTGCAGAAGGAGTGTTTCAAACCTGAACTGTCAGAGAAAGGTTCAACACTGTGAGTTGAATGCAAGCATCACGAAGAAGGTTCTGAGAATGCTTCTGTTTACGTAGGTGACTTTTCTCCCGTATCCAACGAAATCCTCAGAGCGGTCCAAATCTCCACTTGCAGATTCTACACAAAGTGTGTTTGGAAACTGCTCCACCCAAAGGAATGTTCAGCTCTGTGAGTTGAACTCAATGGTCACAAAGCGTTTCCTGGGAATGCTCCTGTCTCGCTTTTATGTGCAGTTATATCCTCTACTGCCATAGGTCTCAAAGCGGTCCAAATCTCCCCTTTCAGATTCTACCAAAAGTGTGTTTCCAAACGGCCCCATCAAAGGGGATGTTCAACTCGGTGACTTGAATGCAATCATCACAAAGCAGCTTCTGAGAATGCTTCCATGTAGCTCTGATGAGAAGATATTTCCTTTTCCACCCCAGACCTCGAAGCCCCCCAAATGTCCCCTTGCAGATGCTAGAAAGAGGGGGTTTCAAAGCTGCTCTATCAAAAGGAAAGTACAACTCTGTGAGTTGAATGCAAACATCACAAGGAAGTTCCTGAGCATGCTTCTGTTTAGCTTTTACGGGAGGATTATCCCTTTTCCATCGAAATGTTCAAAGAGGTCCACATATCCGCTTGCAGATTCCACCGAAAGAGTGTTTCCAAACTGCTGCATCCAAAGGAATCCTCAGCTCCGTGAGTTGAATGCAATCATCACCAAGAAGTTTCTGACAATGCTTCTCTCTAGTTTTTATGTGAAGATATTTCCTTTTCCACCGCAGGCCTGAAAGCGCTCCAAATGTCCACTTGGAGGCTCTACGAAAAGAATGTTTCAAAACTGCTCTATGAAAAGCAATGTTATACTCTGGGAGTTGAACACAAGCCTCACAAAGGAGTTTCTGAGAATGTTTCTGTTTACTTTTTACGTGAGGATATTCCCGTTTCTAAAGAAGTCTTCACAGAGTTCCACCTATCCATTTGCAGATGCTAGCAAAAGAGAGTTTCAAAACTGCTCCATCAAAAGGAATGTTCAACTCTGTGAGTTGCATGCAATCATCACAGAGAAGTTTCTGAGAAGGCTTCTGTCTAGATTTTATGTGAAGATATAGCCGTTTCGAACGAAGGCCACAAAGTGCTCCAAATATCCACTTGCAGGTCCTCCAAAAAGAGTGTTTCAAACGTGAACTACCAAAGGAAGGCTCAACTCTGGACTTTGAAGGCCAACGTCAGAAGGATGTTTCTGCAAAAGCTTCTGTTTAGTTAGGTGACGTTATCCCGTTTCCAACGAAATCCTCAGAGAGGTCCAAATATCCACCTGCAGAGTCTACAAAAAGTGTGTTTCCAAACTGCTCCACCCAAAGGAATGTTCAGCTCTGTGAGTTTGAACTCATCGTCCCAAAGTATTTTCTGAGAATGCTTCTGTCCAGTTTTTACATGAAGCTGTTTTCTTTACTACCGTAGGCCTCAAAGCGTTCCAAACCTCCACTTGCAGATACTACGAAAAGAGCGTTTCAACCTGAACTCACAAGGGAAGGTTCAACTCTGTCAGTTGAATGCCAACATCACCAAGAACTTCTGAGAATGTTCCTCTTCAGTTACGTGAGGTTTATCCCGTTTCCAACGAAATTCTCACAGAAGTCCCAAAATCCACTTGCATATTCCACAAAAGGTGTGTTTGGAAAATGCGCCATCAAAAGATATGCTCAGCTCTGTGAGTTAAACTCAATCATCGCAAAGAATTTTCTGAGAATGCTACCGTCTTGTTTTTAGATGAAGTTCTTTCCTTTACTACGATAGGCCTCAAGGAGGTCCAAATCTCCAGTTGCAGATTCTGCAGAAGGAGTGTTTCAAACCTGAACTGTCAGAGAAAGGTTCAACACTGTGAGTTGAATGCAAGCATCACGAAGAAGGTTCTGAGAATGCTTCTGTTTACGTAGGTGACTTTTCTCCCGTATCCAACGAAATCCTCAGAGCGGTCCAAATCTCCACTTGCAGATTCTACACAAAGTGTGTTTGGAAACTGCTCCACCCAAAGGAATGTTCAGCTCTGTGAGTTGAACTCAATGGTCACAAAGCGTTTCCTGGGAATGCTCCTGTCTCGCTTTTATGTGCAGTTATATCCTCTACTGCCATAGGCCTCAAAGCTGTCCAAATCTCCCCTTTCAGATTCTACCAAAAGTGTGTTTCCAAACGGCCCCATCAAAGGGGATGTTCAACTCGGTGACTTGAATGCAATCATCACAAAGCAGCTTCTGAGAATGCTTCCATGTAGCTCTGATGAGAAGATATTTCCTTTTCCACCCCAGGCCTCGAAGCCCCCCAAATGTCCCCTTGCAGATGCTAGAAAGAGGGGGTTTCAAAGCTGCTCTATCAAAAGGAAAGTACAACTCTGTGAGTTGAATGCAAACATCACAAGGAAGTTCCTGAGCGTGCTTCCGTTTAGCTTTTACGGGAAGATTATCCCTTTTCCATCGAAATGTTCAAAGAGGTCCACATATCCGCTTGCAGATTCCACCGAAAGAGTGTTTCCAAACTGCTGCATCCAAAGGAATCCTCAGCTCCGTGAGTTGAATGCAATCATCACCAAGAAGTTTCTGACAATGCTTCTCTCTAGTTTTTATGTGAAGATATTTCCTTTTCCACCGCAGGCCTGAAAGCGCTCCAAATGTCCACTTGGAGGCTCTACGAAAAGAATGTTTCAAAACTGCTCTATGAAAAGAAATGTTATATTCTGGGAGTTGAACACAAGCCTCACAAAGGAGTTTCTGAGAATGCTTCTGTTTACTTTTTACGTGAGGATATTCCCGTTTCCAAAGAAGACTTCACAGAGTTCCACCTATCCATTTGCAGATGCTAGCAAAAGAGAGTTTCAAAACTGCTCCATCAAAAGGAATGTTCAACTCTGTGAGTTGCATGCAATCATTACAGAGAAGTTTCTGAGAAGGCTTCTGTCTAGATTTTATGTGAAGATATAGCCGTTTCGAACGAAGGCCACAAAGTGCTCCAAATATCCACTTGCAGGTCCTCCAAAAAGAGTGTTTCAAACGTGAACTACCAAAGGAAGGCTCAACTCTGGACTTTGAATGCCAACGTCAGAAGGATGTTTCTGCGAAAGCTTCTGTTTAGTTAGGTGACGTTATCCCGTTTCCAACGAAATCCTCAGAGAGGTCCAAATATCCACCTGCAGAGTCTACAAAAAGTGTGTTTCAAAACTGCTCCACCCAAAGGAATGTTCAGCTCTGTGAGTTGAACTCAATCATCCCAAAGTATTTTCTGAGAATGCTTCTGTCCAGTGTTTACATGAAGCTGTTTCCTTTACTACCGTAGGCCTCAAAGCGTTCCAAACCTCCACTTGCAGATACTACGAAAAGAGCGTTTCAACCTGAACTCACAAGGGAAGGTTCAACTCTGTCAGTTGAATGCCAACATCACCAAGAACTTCTGAGAATGTTCGTCTTCAGTTACGTGAGGTTTATCCCGTTTCCAACGAAATTCTCAGAGAAGTCCCAAAATCCACTTGCATATTCCACAAAAGGTGTGTTTGGAAAATGCGCCATCAAAAGATATGCTCAGCTCTGTGAGTTAAACTCAATCATCGCAAAGAATTTTCTGAGAATGCTTCCGTCTTGTTTTTAGATGAAGTTCTTTCCTTTACTACGATAGGCCTCAAGGAGGTCCAAATCTCCACTTGCAGATTCTGCAGAAGGAGTGTTTCAAACCTGAACTGTCAGAGAAAGGTTCAACACTGTGAGTTGAATGCAAGCATCACGATGAAGGATCTGAGAATGCTTCTGTTTACGTAGGTGACTTTTCTCCCGTATCCAACGAAATCCTCAGAGCGGTCCAAATCTCCACTTGCAGATTCTACACAAAGTGTGTTTGGAAACTGCTCCACCCAAACGAATGTTGAGCTCTGTGAGTTGAACTCAATCGTCACAAAGCGTTTCCTGGGAATGCTCCTGTCTCGCTTTTATGTGCAGTTATATCCTCTACTGCCATAGGCCTCAAAGCGGTCCAAATCTCCCCTTTCAGATTCTACCAATGGTGTGTTTCCAAACGGCCCCATCAAAGGGGATGTTCAACTCGGTGACTTGAATGCAATCATCACAAAGCAGCTTCTGAGAATGCTTCCATGTAGCTTTGATGAGAAGATATTTCCTTTTCCACCCCAGGCCTCGAAGCCCTCCAAATGTCCCCTTGCCGATGCTAGAAAGAGGGGGTTTCAAAGCTGCTCTATCAAAAGGAAAGTACAACTCTGTGAGTTGAATGCAAACATCACAAGGAAGTTCCTGAGCATGCTTCCGTTTAGCTTTTACGGGAAGATTATCCCTTTTCCATCGAAATGTTCAAAGAGGTCCACATATCCGCTTGCAGATTCCACCGAAAGAGTGTTTCCAAACTGCTGCATCAAAAGGAATCCTCAGCTCCGTGAGTTGAATGCAATCATCACCAAGAAGTTTCTGACAATGCTTCTCTCTAGATTTTATGTGAAGATATTTCCTTTTCCACCGCAGGCCTGAAAGCGCTCCAAATGTCCACTTGGAGGCTCTACGAAAAGAATGTTTCAAAACTGCTCTATGAAAAGCAATGTTATACTCTGGGAGTTGAACACAAGCCTCACAAAGGAGTTTCTGAGAATGCTTCTGTTTACTTTTTACGTGAGGATATTCCCGTTTCCAAAGAAGTCTTCACAGAGTTCCACCTATCCATTTGCAGATGCTAGCAAAAGAGAGTTTCAAAACTGCTCCATCAAAAGGAATGTTCAACTCTGTGAGTTGCATGCAATCATCACAGAGAAGTTTCTGAGAAGGCTTCTGTCTAGATTTTATGTGAAGATATAGCCGTTTCGAACGAAGGCCACAAAGTGCTCCAAATATCCACTTGCAGGTCCTCCAAAAAGAGTGTTTCAAACGTGTACTACCAAAGGAAGGCTCAACTCTGGACTTTGAAGGCCAACGTCAGAAGGATGTTTCTGCGAAAGCTTCTCTTTAGTTAGGTGACGTTATCCCGTTTCCAACGAAATCCTCTGAGAGGTCCAAATATCCACCTGTAGAGTCTACAAAAAGTGTGTTTCAAAAATGCTCCACCCAAAGGAATGTTCAGCTCTGTGAGTTGAACTCAATCATCGCAAAGTATTTTCTGAGAATGCTTCTGTCCAGTTTTTACATGAAGCTGTTTCCTGTACTACCGTAGGACTCAAGCGTTCCAAACCTCCACTTGCAGATACTACGAAAAGAGCGTTTCAACCTGAACTCACAAGGGAAGGTTCAACTCTGTCAGTTGAATGCCAACATCACCAAGAACTTCTGAGAATGTTCCTCTTCAGTTACGTGTGGTTTATCCCGTTTCCACGAAATTCTCAGAGAAGTCCCAAATCCACTGCATATCCACAAAAGTGTGTTTGAAAATGCGCATCAAAGATATGCTCACTCTGTGAGTAAACTCATCATCGCAAAGATTTCTGAGAATGCTCCGTCTGTTTTTAAATAAAGTCTTTTCTTTCTACAAAGGCCTCAAG